>NC_000010.11:4706969-4858484 GCF_000001405.40 Homo sapiens
TCCTCAACT
This sequence comes from Homo sapiens, assembly GCF_000001405.40. Classification (NCBI taxonomy): domain Eukaryota; kingdom Metazoa; phylum Chordata; class Mammalia; order Primates; family Hominidae; genus Homo; species Homo sapiens. The sequence continues at coordinate 4,706,979 of NC_000010.11, forward strand.
AGCCCACCATGGAGAAGGTGATACAGGACTGAGTGGAAGAAAGGCCACTGACTCGGAATACTGGGAGACTTGTCAAGTCATCTAGCACGTCTGACTGTCAATCCATACATAAAACAGGTAGAGTAATGTCTTTTCTGAGTACTTGGAATTGCCAATGTAACAGTCAACTTGGTTATTAAATGAACTCAATTTGAAAAAATATATAAAACACTGTAGAGCCATGCAGCATGCAATTTTAACTTATATTATGGGCTGTTGCCTTCTGATATACTTAGTTCTCTAAAGAAAATAATACAAACGTGTACATCATACATAAGCAAACAAAAGCAAACTACTGACACTATCCTAGCTGATCCCAGAGGTGGGGGAGAAACCCTTCTGCTGGTGGTTGGAGCAGGAAGCAGGATTCACCTATTACCTTGTTCAAGGAAAGTGTTTATTGCCTTCTGAACAATGACAGTAATTAGTGACAAAATTCACCTTCTTCCTTGAGTTACAGCCTTTGCCCCTCTGACTGAAGAAAAAGCCCTGAAAGCAATTCCCAAATAGGGCTTGTACGACACATGAGGCAACTGGTAAGAAACACATGTTCTGACCCAAAGCTGACATGTATTACAATTTAAATAATGACATAATGCCTTTGACTTGAAAGAGTTGTGTCCTTGGAACTTAGAATCTATTTCTTAATGATCAAATGGGTGAATACTTATTACAGTAAGAGCCAAAAAGGGGTAGATTTTTCCTCAATAAAATATTGCTACATGGCTAAAAAATGTCATCCTTTTCTTGTTGATTGACAGAAATTAATGAATGGGATTTCCTCTTGCTTTAGAAAGACAGGAGCAATTAAAACGGCCACGTGCAAAAAAGTTTAGCCGCGTAAATGGCCTCAGTTTGTATTATGTTGATTTCACTGTCTTCTCATAATTGAGCAAGCACGTTAACAATGTTTACCAAATGCTTACTGTCTTCTAATAATTGAGCAAGCACGTTAACAATGTTTACAAAATGCAACTTTTAAAGAGCCCCCCTGAACATCAGCTCCTGAGTCCCTGCCTCTGTGGGCTCAGCCGTCTCATTTTTCCTCACTCTTGATCAGGACTGGGAGGACTTTCAGATTTTACTCCTGTGTCAGGTCTGGTCTTGATTGTCCCACTGTAGTCTCAAACCCCAATAGACTTGGAGACAAATGCCCAAGGTCACAGACAGGTTTCTCCAGCCACAATACCAAGAAATGGGCCTCCGACACACCTGCTTCCCTGCTGTGCCTTCACTTCACAGCAGGGTAGTATCCCACCCTGAGCACCAACCTGCTTAGAAATGGTTTTGGCACTATGCCTCAAATTTTACCTGTGTCAGAAGCCCTACTTGGAATTGTAAGGGAATTATATAGTATTTCCTGCTCTGTGCCCCTTGCCAAGGCAGGTAAAACAAAGGCAGGGTCACTGTGCTCCAGAGATTGATGGAAGAATCAAATAACATTTCCTGAAAAATAGATCAAGTTGACAGAGCCATCTGGACCGGGGAGTCAGGAAGGAAGTCATCTAGAGAAAGGTGTGCTCCCGGGAACCAGCAGCAGCCATCCACAGTGCAGGCTGTTACTGGGACGCTAGGGGGCGACTGTGATGGTGACGACATTCATGTCAAAGATGAGTGGTGGGAATTGGAAGAACACTGGGACCAGGACAAGGGGTCAGTTTGAGTCTTGTAGACACAACTGCAGAAACACTGCAAATGATTAGTCAACAACTAATGGGTTAAAGGTGATACTGAAAGAATGGATGCACCAAAAACTGGAAGGGAGATTAAGAACAGGACCACCTAATTTCAATAGAAGTTTCTGATTTTTCATAAAAATTACTGATTGTGCAGATATGTGCTGAAATAATAAAGGGTACATTTAAGAAATGTGATTGAGAACAGACTTTCATGAAGTGGCCAGATTTGATGAGGTATAAACAGGGAAGGTTAACCAGCAACACCCCCAATTCACTATGGCTACAGTTTGATGGTAATGGAGGGTCCACTGATTACAGTGAGGAGAGGTAGGATTTGAGGAAATGACAACACCTTCATTTCTGAGTATAATGCTCTTTCTCTGCAGGACATGGCAGGCCAAGTACAGTGTGCTATAGGACCTCAGATCCTGTAAGCAGTAGAATGTAGAGGGTCCATCTGTAACTCCAGGCAGAGGCTTGACTTCTGCAAAGTCTCCTTGCTATAGTTGAGTTTGTCCCCTGTCAAATTCCATGTTGAAATGTGATTCCCAATGTGAATGTGGTGGTGCTGGAGGTGGGGACTAGTGGGAGGTGTTTGGGTCGTGGGTTTGGATCGCTCATGAATGGCTTGGTGTCCTTCCTGCAATAGTGAGTTCTTGCTCTTTTGAGACTGGATTCCCGTGACAGTGGGTTGTTACAAAGTGAGCCTCCTTCACTTGTTCAGTCCTCTGTTTGAACGTGTCAGCTTCCCCTTGGCCTTCTCCAGGTTATGACACAGTGTGAAAGCCCTTGTCAGAAGCCAGGGCCATGCTCTTGAACTTCCCAGGCTACAAAACTGTGAGCTAAATGAACTTCTCTTATTTATAAATGGCTCACTATCAGGTGTTCCATTATAGCAACACTAAGTGGACTATGACACCCCCTAGCCTCCTGGTGGAGGGAAAGGCAGTCGGTGCCCCCACCATCCCTGGGACCCTCCTACCTGACACAGGCACCAGCTGCATGGATCACCAAACTTCCCTCACACTGCCTTGGGAAACTGAGGAAGCAAAGGAAAGTTCACCCATTCAATCAGTCTCTTATAATCTTATCGCGCATAGAAATCACTCTGCATATATTTATTGTGGTAATAAAAAAAAAAACCTAGTCCCCAAATGTTGAATGCAAATATGAATTTTGGTCTACTCTTGCTCACTGGAACTTAAAAGGTTGAAATATCCAAATTGAAATATCCAAAGAAAATAGATTATAAAAATAGACTGAGAAATCAGATCTAGCAGTTCACAATTTATCGACATAGACATGAGCACTGAAACTATGACAGCAGGGGGTAGACAAAGGAAATGATTTGACCAAAGGTGCATTTTAACTTAACAGCAAAGGATGTGGCACAATGCACTCAAGTTGAGGCCAAAACTCAAATTTTAGCATTATCCTCAAACTTTCTTTTACAATTTTCCTAGATTATTTGTGTTGCTTAGACATTTCTCTTTAATACTACATTATCTCTGAGTACAGTCTTTATTTGGGTAATAGATGATAGGACCAATTTTGAGTGAAGACTCAAAAAATATAAAATTCACATTAATGCAGTAAACCAAATTACCTCCAAGTAGATAGATAAGGAATACGATGATGATTTAAATATGGTTTACTGAAATGAAAAATCTTGTCATTTTATAAGCCTGTCAGCATACTGTCTAATGATAGGATAAAGCAAATATTATTTTCCATGGCATAGTTGAATAATTTGGAAAAAAGAGATGTGAGTTAAATATGACCAGAACATTTAACTCTGCTAGCTTGATTTGAGAGATGGAAATACCAGACTGTCAAATAGAAACCCCATCCTTCTGCTTTATCACTAACACAATCATCAGAACCTTAGAAAAATGTGCTTGGAATTATTGTTTGGGAGCATTCAGTTATAACACTTTCAAATCAAACAACTTTTATCAATATTGCTTAGCAGTAGTTATCATCGCTAATTTTACCAACAAAGTAACTGAGGCATAAAACGGCTTTCTGGAGGTCATAGAAGAAGTTGATGTCATAACTCACGAGACCATGTAAAAGCTACATGGGGAGAGAAGAACTTTAAAATAAATAGTTTAAAAGGCAGTTTTGCTTCTGTTAGAATCTGATCAGTCTTTTTCTGTAAAAAGCATTTCTAAACAATCAGATACTCATTTTTTAAAAACATGTTTATCAGTTTTGTTTTGAACCTCTTAGAAAAATATGAGAACATAACTAAATATAAGTTGAAATGTCCTCAGGTCAGTATTTCAATGGAACTGCTCTACACCAAGCTCTAAACTGGAGGTGGGGCTTTAAAAGAGTAAATAAGGTACAGATATGATTTCCGTGTTTGCATTTCTGTAAGTCTAGCAAGAGAAGTTAGACGAGTAAATAGATTGTCCCAAAACAGTATGGTAATTGAAGTTATGGCCCTGGTACCCACAATAGTTCATCAAGGATATGCAAGGAAGAGACTTTAATGGCAATAGGAACCCTCCCTAGAGGAAGTCAACTCCGAGCTACATTTTGGGACATGAATAAAAATCAGCCAGGCAAGGAAGGCATAGTTAATAGCATGAACAAAAAACAAAACAGAAAAGCAAGGAGCAGGCGTGTGGGCATGGGTATGGAAGGCCAGGCTATGCTATTAGAACATAAACTCTGAGGCTGGACAGCTTGGCCGAGGCCAGAAGCAGAATGAACTCTTGTGATTACCCTCTGAATACATCTATGCTGCTATTGATTCTGCACCTCGTTCATTATTGAGAGACAGTAAAAGGGAACTTGCTTTACAGATTTTTAATTCAAGATTTCCTTTCCTTTGGAGTTTTAAGTTTGGAAGCATATGCACCTCTGTACCAGGGGAAGAAAGAGAGAGTGCTGGTCAACCTGCCTATGAGTATTGCGTGTGTCTATAGAACAGCTTGCTGAGGAGGGGCTTTAAAGAGACTGATGCTCATGGGGATAAGAGGAACAGACATTACTTAGGCCCCTTCCTCTCTGCAGGCCTGGAAGCATTTAACACGTGGTCAGCCTCAGCAAGAACCAAGCATATTCTTACTGGGATTGCAGGGACGCAGTTGATAACATAAGCTCAGCCCTTGATCTGATTGAGAAATTGAAAAAAAATAAGAGCAAGGCTGATGAGAGACCAAAATATGACCCTTAATAAGGCTGCTAGTGGAGGATGTGACTTATCTTGGGTGAGTGGACTCCCTGGTATGGAAGTGCCTTCACACCCAATCGGAGCCAGGCTGGTCTGGGGTAGGCCTCCCCATGAGGCGGTGCTCCTGTAAAACTGGAAACTCTTATGTCCTGGACCCGCTTAGATAAATAGGTGCTTTTTGCAGGCCGGTAGTTCCACATAAAAAAACCAGGAAGAGAGCTGGCTGCATGAGGTCACTTTTTTCCTCTGCATTTATCCACAACAGCAATTTCTGCACCTCAGCAGGCCTTGGCCAGAAGGGATGGTCTCATGGACACTGGCCAGTGTGGTCACCCAGGCCCTGTGCTCAGGAAGTCCCCACACTTAGGGCATCAGGGTCTGCAGGTATTGTGTTGAATTTTGTGATAATTTCATGTTGGAACTTTTGTTTTGTAAGGGCAGTTCCATGGACACTGGAGCATGTCCTGGGCTCAGAGCCTCAGCTCACATGTGGTAACCACTCCTGCTACCTTCCTGCCTCCTGGAATGGGCTCTCAGGTGCCCATACACAAGCACCCTGATCCCCAAGGCCCACTCTCAAAGTGTCCCATCCCCCAGTGACTGATGCAATCTCCTGGCCATGGCATCTCTGGTGGGGCATGGCAATGTGAGTCCCTTCCCTGGATGGGGTTTGCTAGGGTGTGTTTTGGGATCAAGCATATAGGAATGATCCTCTAATCATCCTGAGCCCCAGCCCTCTTACGAATCTTTGAAGGGTGCTTGTCATTGTGGCTTGGGGTGATGCCCATAGGAATGGGGGGGCATGTGGCTCTACTCCCCTGGGCCCTTTGGCGATGTTGCCCATGAGCCCTTGCCCTCCACTGTGCCCTCACAAACCCCAGCCAAGAACACCTTAGGAAGACAAATTTAAGGCTCTCCTCCCATTTCCTCGCTTGCCACCCTGAAATCATTAAACTCGTTCTTTGCTGCAGTCCTTGCTGTCTCAGTGTTGGACTGTTACTGCATGCACACCTACTGGTTCTATGACAGAGCCAGAGATGATCATGAGATTCTGACTTCTCTGGAAATATGAAGAAATTCAGGAAATAGCAGTGAACTGTCTACCCGACCTGAACTTAAGGGTTAAGCCAATTTTTCTAGGCTATTGTTGATGTTTGGATTGCAGATAAAGTGAAATATATCCAGCAGATGCATATTGCTATTCAAGTGGGGAATCAAGAAGAGCTGATCAATCTTTAAGTTGTGACATGAACGGGCCCACTAGTGGGGAGCCACACGGGCTTTGGACTAGCCTCTGCTCTTCCTGTGTGAGCCATTTGGGAGGTATCTGCTGAGGTCCCCAGTGAGACTTGCATCTGCTGGGCCCAGCACCCTTGTTTTCCTCAGTCCCCACCCCAGCCTGTGCTGAGTGTTGGTGTCCTGTGCTCAGCGTTCTGCTCTTGCAGCCTGGCACATCTCAGTTAGGTGCCTCATCCTGTGGAAAAGGCTCCATCAGCTTAAGTGACCTCCCAAATTGGAAATTTCATTTGGCCAATACTGATGGGTGGCAGCCCAGGTCACAAGACTTAGAGCCTAATGCAGCAAGGCCCAGTCCAATCAGTTAACTGCCAAGGAGACCCATAGCTCTTGTCCCCAAAGCTTGCAGCCACATGTCCTGGCCAAGCCAAAACACCTCCCTCTCTTTCTTTTGTGTCTAGAATCTGATGTCTTCTTTATTTCTAAAAGCTCTTTGCCAGTGCACTCAGATTTTGTAGCATGGAATTGAAATTGCATAAATCAGGGAGACCTGAAACAGCACCAGCTCTTCTGAAGCACAGTGTAACACAGAGAGCAGAGCACAGCCCCTGGTGAGCATCCAGCTCCTGGGAGAAAGGAAAGGACTCTCACTTCTCTCCTCTTCTTTCCTGAAGGTGGAAGGGGCAGGGCGGGGAGATGAGGGTTGCAGTTGTGAAATGTTTTGCATCAACTCCCCAGCCATGGTGCCCAGGTACATGGTTAAATGACATTCTGCATTTGCCTGTGAAGGCGTTTTCACATGAGACTCACATTAAAGTTGGTGGACTTTGAGTAAAGCACATTGCCCTACCTAATGCTGTGGGCTTCATCCAACAGAAAGAAAGGCTGATCGTCCCCTGAGTGAACAAGAAGGAATTCTGCAAGCACACAGTCTTCAGACTCAAACTGCAACCTCAGTGCTTTCCTGGGTCTCCAGTCTACTGGCCCACCTTGTAGATTCTGAACTTCTCAGCCTCTATAGCCTCTATAGTCATATGAGCTAATTCCTTAAAATGTATAAACCTCTTTACACACACACACACGCACACATATATTACATATATACATACATATGTAATATATATGTAATATATATGTATATATATATGTATTACATATATAAGTATTTAAAAATGTGTAGGAGGTGGATATATGTAATATATAGTATATATATACACACATATATACACAATAAACACACATATATAGCATATCCTATAAGTTCTGCTTCTCTGACTAATATGAGAGGGCAGGGCTGTTAAGCTAATGCATCTCCCTGCACATTGAGAGAGAAGTTCCGTCTCCTTGCACTCCTGCTCCTCTAGGAGAAAGTGTCCACATCCAGGATTGTCAACTTCTTCAAAACCAAGCAAATCAGAAGAAAAAGCAACAAAAGACAAGCCAGAATAAACCCAAAAACTGATGAAAAAGCTCACTGTCTTACTTATCATCAAACAGTATTAATACATGGGAAAGAAACACATAGATTTCCCACAGTTTTTCTAATAAAAAGAATAAGATGATCATTCTGTAGTTTTTAACATGCCTAAACATGAGGTCTGTAATACTTTGGATGAAGGGAACTACTAATACCTTTCCACAGACCTCAAGTAGGGTGACTATAGCTCATTTGGTATCATCACTTAAAAATACATATGATTACTGAGCCAATAATATATTATAAAATATTATATTAAAATAAAATATTCTAAAAATATAAGATTAGTGGTCTGCGAAGGGCTCACCCTGCTTTCTTCAGTCCATTCCAGACCACCCTCATCTCCATCCAATCTCCATTTCCTCTGGCCTCACCCGTGCATCAAGCATCTAGCTGGCACCAATGAGCGCAGCCTCGACCCCCTAATTCAGCCATCCCATAATTAGCTTTGTGGTCTTTCCAAACCATGATTCTTGCCACACAGCTTCATGCAGCCCTGACCCCATGCTAGGAGTCTCCAGTGCCTTCAGGATGGAAACCCTAAATCTTTAGCAGATGTCCAAGTCCTGCCTTCTAGTCACTATCAGTTCCCAGTGGGACCCTCCACTCTCCTTTCTCACCATTTGCCACCTTGAATTTTATGCCCCAGCCACTTGGAACTGTGAACTGCTGCCTTAAATAAGTGTGTTTTTGATGAGTTCACACCTTCTCCGATGCTGAATTTCCTCCTTGATATTCCCATCCACCTCCTACACATTTTTAAAGCTACCTCCACATATCACTGCCTTCAGGAAATTATCTTCCCAGTCTGGATTAGTTGCACATTTTTGAATCTCTGTATCCCCAACACCTAGCACAGCACAGTGAATATAAAACTATAAAAGACACACAAAGATGTTTACTAAATTATTTGATGAATAGAATTAGAATAATTTTATTCTGCATGGTTCAATACAAAGAAAAAATTAATTATTTGATTTAGAATTACCTATTAACCAACAAGACATTTTTAGCTTCTTTAAATATAATTTGATATCGTTCCACTTATCTGAGTATTTCTCTGCGTAATGGAAATAATTATTATTGAATAGGAAAAAAAACTGCCTTGGCGCTTACATTTGTCCTGGAAAAAATAGCATTTCAAGAACCATTATTCATATTGTACCATAAAATTACTATAAATGCAAGTCTTGTTCAGTAAAAAAAGCAACTCTATTTAAAGAAAAATAAAAATAGCTGTTGTTTTGGAACTGTCTCACCTGCCCAGGAAAATAGAACTTCTCTCTCTAAGCACCATCCTTCATAACTGTTGTCAGATCAGTCTTTAAAGGTTAGATTTTTAGAAAGCAGACATCTTTTTTGTTTGTTTTTCTTTTTAAAATAATATTTATTTTATTATTTACATAGCTTTAGGGGTACAAGGGCCATTTGGTTACACAGATGAATTGTATAGTGGTAAAGTCTGAAATTTTAGTGCATATACCACTGTCACCCTAGTGGTATATACTGTACCCAATATGTAGTTTTTCTCCCTAACCCCCGCCCTCCACGCTTCTGGGTCTCCAATGTTCATTAACCACCCCGTATGCCCTTGCATGCCCATGGCTTAGCTCCCATGCAGTGTTTGGTTTTCCTTTCCCAAGTTACTTCATTTAGAAAAATAGCCTCCAGTTCCCTCCAAGTTACTGCAGAAGACATCATTTCATTCTTTTTTTATAACTGAATAGTATCCATAGTGTGTATGTACCATATTTTCGTTACCGCTCATCAGTGGATCGCCGATTAGGTTGGTTCCCTATCTTTGCAATTGTGAATTGTGCAAAAGCAGGCATCTTAAAGGCAATACATGCAGTGAGCGTCTACCCCAGGTCACAACTGCTAAACAAAAAACTCTAGTGTGTGAGTTAAGAGACTCAGTTTTCATGCCTGATCAGCTTTGTGACACTGGAGAAGTCTCCTGCTTCCTACGTTAGGCGAGGAAACTGAGATGGGGTCGAATATAAGGTCTTCTCTGGAAAGATGTGTAAGATTTCCTGACTTTGGAAAACCTGCTTTGTTTTCTCCAGAATGAGATGTGGTAACCCATAGCAATGAACAACAAAATAACAAGTGGGAAGGGGCCTAATGTTAGAGAGACTTCTGCGTTTGTTGATTCAAAGCTTGGGAAATCTGTACTACTACTGCACTCCAGTAACAGAAATCAGCTGATTCATATGCACCTATTTATCCTGAAATCTAAAAGACACGAAACCATTAGAAACACTTTATTCACCATATAGCTCACAAGAAAGCTCAACAGATCGTCTTACTTTTTCTGTTCTCTTATTGAGACTCATGTTTACCATTAGCAGATTATCCAATTATGTTGTTTTAGGCAATATTTATTGCCAGCTATACATAAGTACTGTGAGGCAATCTGATAACAAAGCTAATAATAAGAAGGAGAATTTACCTTCCAGGGCCCCATAGTCTAGGGCTGGGGGTAGACAATACCTGACCTGAACTTGAGAGGGATGCATCCCTATATTTTATAATCTATTGTCTGGCCACTTATTACTTTAAGACTGTTGCAAAGAAACTAGAGGCATTTGACAATTTCTGTAAAATATTGCTATCAGATAGTGTTAGGTGAATACTCACAGGCCATCATGAGCAAGAGTCCACACAGTCAACTCCCTGCAACCCACAGGTGGCAGCTGCCATCACCTGTTCACCCTAAATTTAAGGGTAGTGCATTCCACACCTGTAACTTTTGCTTCCTTGACATTTAGAGTTTTCTAAATATAAGAGTAAACCAAATATTTTTTGTTTACAAGATTAATAGTTTTTAAACATGTTTTGTGAAAATTGAGGAGAGATTTGGGAAGACAGATGTGTATATTCTCAGTATGTTTTAGCCTCCTGAGCCCCCAAGCATGAATATATGAGGCTTCAAAGAGAAGAAAAATGAGAACGTGTCTTTTATCTTTGCTAATATTCAATTAAGTAGATCAAGTGAATCTTGAATCTTTAAGTATATACGATGCTAATATTTTAATTTCTTTCAACACATTTATTCTTGATCTTGGATTCCTGTGAGGACTTAAAGAAAACCAGTGACACTCACTCACTCAGACTTGGAACCACCTAAGAGATAAATGCAGAGGTTTGGTAGAGGGAGATAAAAATATCAGCCTTATTACTGCTATGGGGGAAGATATGGCTGAGGACTGCAGTACTAGGGACTTCTGAACAATGAGCCCTAGAACTAGGAGACCCATCCTCCCAGCCATAGGTGTCTGTGCTACCACCGGGCTCCCTTCCTGGAGCCTGGGGTCTTATTGTAAATGCACAAAAGCCAAGAGTCAAGAAGAAACAGCTTGCAGAGAGGTGAATCCCAGAGAAAGGAGTGAAGGGATTAACCATGCCTGCCAGCTTCTTCTCTCTGAACTTCCCACTCAGATAATCCTCTCCCTCTTCCACCAGGGAAGTAACAGAGTGTGGAGGGAGGCCGGGATGCTGGAAACACAAACGCAGGGGAGAGAAGGCTGTTTCTCCTGCAGCAGTTACTGGCAGCCAAGTCCTGGGCTCTCATTCCAGAGAAGATTTCTCACATTTTCTTCCTGGAATTGCGGTATGCTCCGAAGACATATAGTTACTGCAAATAGGTTCAACATGATGCATTTCTATGCAATTTAACAAAGGCCAATGGTATTGTAGTTCAAGTAAATATAATATTGAGCAGAAAGCTAATTCGGAAAACGTTGCCCAGAAAAAAGGTACCCACACATTTTATTAAGTAAATAACAATCATCCTTAGCTATTACCTGAGATGTGGCATGGGATAATGAGATTTTTTTTCAGGTTCTAGGACTTGATTATGTAGGTGGATAAATGTCAATATTTTCAGGTGAATGGTAGTGGAGGGAACCATGACTAATTCCATATGATAGATTTTAGAGTTTCACCTGGGAAGACAAAATAAATAGACTTTTCATAGCTATCGTTGGAACAAAAATACTTAGATGCAAATTTATATACCAAAATAAACTCCAAGTGGATGAAGGGGTAAAACATTAAAAAGCTAAAGATAGTCTCGATTGGAAGTAATAATGCCTCCAACTTTGAGGTTGACAGAAACGCAGACCAGAACATTTAAAAATGAAACGAATTTAAAAGTTCAAAATGAAAATGTAAAGCTAAAACACATTTACAAATTTAATGTATACATCTAAAACTAAAATGAATAACAAAGTTACAACAAAAACACAAACTAGGAAATATATGTGTACATGTTACAACAGGTAAATTTTAATGTTTATCTTAGTTTCAAAACAAAAAATACAATCAAATCTCCACATGCCATATTTTCAAAAGATATAAAAACAATTCTCACAAGTGAAAATATGACTAGGTAACAAACATTCACAACTTTTTTGACTCTGTGAAAAATACAAATTGAACTACCATACTGCATGATTTTATACTCACAAATAAGTAAAGGTTATTTTAATGAATCAATGCTATTCCTGGAAATTGTCATGGCTTATAGAGTTTTGCTTCTAAAAATAATGCATGAAACCATTGTTCTGTCCAAAAAGCTTGTCATACCTGTTTGTTTTGATGATTTCATGTTAAGAAACATAGACTAGATATGAAGTGCATGATGACAGTTCGGAGCAGGAGTTCTGGAGCCAGACCACCTGGATTCAAATTTTAGTTCTATTATTCACAAACTATAAATAGCTAAGAAGTAAAATGTTTGCTGAACAATAATACTTACAGTTGCATACTTACATGACTGAACAATAAAAAAATGACATAGTACTCAACTATGATACAGCCAGTCAAAATAACCATTAAAAAGGCATTGTCAAAAAAACTATTATATAATAGCAAATAAAAATAACACATAAAGAAAGACAACATGTATGCACATGATGAGCAGCATGATAGAAAATACGTGCACATTTATAAGGTATTATTTTAACTGGTATGAATTTTTAGCAATTTGTAATTAGGATCTCTAGAAGAGTTTGTTACCAAAATATAAGTTATAAAGAATTATATGTTGCAGACAAATCAGCCATTTATTTAACCACTATTGGATACTTGCTAGTTCACACACTGCTTGCTACTAAGAATGCAAAATTGACTGTTGCCTTTAAAAGAAGATAGATGAGCAAACAAAATGCAATACCATCACATTTTTAAGTAGGCGCTTTTTGTGGGGACAAAGTGGATCAGGAAACTGAGAGATGAATTCAAGGGTGAGGATTCATGAGTGACAGAACCTAAGTGGACATGACATCATTGAGATGAATGTGAATGCAAATGGAATGCCCGGTCCTTTTCAGGACAAATAAAGACATTAAAGAAAAATGGAAAGGAATTCCAGAAAATTGTGAAAGAGAGAGATAGAGAATAAAAGTTTTTATTTTTAAAGTGTCTAATTATACCTGGATGATTTATTCTTTCTAAAATCAACAGAAATTTTGTATCATACTTAATACAGTAACTAGTGCTGTTAGTAAAATGTTGTGATGCACCCCATACTGGGAATGAAATGGTGAAGCAATAAAATTCTGGAGCTTCTTCGAGCAGATGTATTGTTGTTAAGCAGGAAGTTTAGTGGGACTATATTTCTGTTCACTAGGATATTTGTCTTCATCTTGGATTTATAGTGGAGAAACAGAAAAGATGACAGACCTAGAACATCCAATAGGCAAAATGCTACAGGGCTACTATGCAAAGGGAGAGACAATATCCTGTGTTAATTAATTACACCACTTCCTACTGCATTTAACAGGAAACACTAGAAAAGTAATACTTTCCAAATACAGTTAATGAAGAACCAGCATTTAAAATCTGAACTTTGCACACTTTGCAAATGTAGTCACAGAATTTACCATTTTTTGTATATTATGACAAAGTTCTTTTTACAGAGAAATACACACCAACGTGAGACAAAAAGAACTGGAGTCTGGTGAGATAGAGAAGAACTAGAGAGTACACACAGAACATAAATAGGACATGTGTGGTACAAGAAGAGGAGAAGTCAAGATTCAGCTGGACAGAGGCTCCCTGAGTCAGCATTTCCAATGGTTTGTTTCATGTTTATCCAGTCTCTATGGTGTTTTATACAGGTTTTGTTGAAAAGAGCCATGTGGGCAAGTTAAGTTGAAAAATTTGGATTAAGCAAATGTGATCAGGTTCCTTTATTCTTCTTAGTGCTCTGTGCTAATACATATGGAACCCAATGGGAGGGGAAGACAGAGGTGGGAGGATGTCCCAACTTATTTCAACACAAACCCCATTTTTTATAGAGCAGCCAGTGAGATTAGTACTTCATAAAACACACTTGAGAACATCTTATCAAGAAAAACTAAAAGTTTATATGAATTCTTACAGAGGTGGAATTGAATGTTATCACTAGAATTTTGCGATTTTTAATTTGTTATATGGTTCAGTAAACAAAAAAATGATAATAAAATTTCAGAGTATCTATTTGAACAAGGTTGTCCCTACTGAAACACTCCAGTCAATGCCCCCACTGGCAGAATAGGCAAAGCAGTAAATCTGCAGCACACATTTTGTTACTGAAACACCAGGGTTCAGTCGAGGTCCTGCTGCTGGCGACACAGAAAGCCAATCACTGAGACAACATGTACTCCAGGGAAGAAGGCTTTAATCAGTCTCTCCAGCCAAGGAGATGGGAGCTCAGTCTCAAATCCATCTCCCTGACTGACTAAAATTAGGGGGTTATATGGCAGGGAAGAAATGTAACCATGTGTGGGAAAACAGTAACTAAGGAGGGGTAAGGAAGCAGTCCTAATGAATGAGGAGCCTAGTGTCTCATTGTCTGGATGCCGTGATCTTGTGAGTTTCAGTTCTTTGATACTTTTTGAGAGGCCTGGGGGTCCTCTTCTGAGGAAAGAACTCAGATAAAACAAATGTAAGTTTTAAGCTTTAAGGCCAGAAGGGGCAATTCCTATCTTTATCCAAAAAAGCTATCTATGGGACTATTGGGTCAGTTTCAATTTGAGAACAGCACCTCAAGAAAGGGCCACATCTTACACTGTGTTCACTTGTGCACAGTCTCATTGAGAGTTGTAGTTTTGCATATAGGACATTTCAATAAAATGGAAACACACAATTATGGGTACCCTACACGTGGAGCATGAGGTCACAGCCCAGCAACTCCATCTGGGGCCATTTCACCCAAGCTGCAAATATAGTGTCTAGAAAAGCTATTAGTGTCGAGAATGTTGACCTTACAAACCAGTTATTTAAAGTGATCATAGTTTGCAGAAAAGATTACCTTCTGAAAGAGGTAAGAGACCCCAATCAATATAATCTGAGTATCTTAAGTAAAATTAGGAAAATATCTCAGAAATTATTGTTGGGAAACTTGATGTGGTTGTTATGCAAGCAATCCAGGAAAAAAACAACCAAACACACACAGACTAACAAATAAACCCTCCCTATTCATTGTCAGGCCCAGTGTAAGCCATCAGCTAGGATATGTTGTTTTGCTGATGGTGAGGTCACAGGGCAAAAAGAACATGAGATCATTCAGTAAACAAGACCAACTGGAAAACTAGTTTTGCATCCCCATGCCCAACCACCCATCAGTCACATGCTTACATTTAGGTATGTTAGCTAACTACATCTCTCTACAAAAACCATGCATATTTCACAATCCCCAAATGGGTCACAAAGTCATTCATGGGTCTTATTTTTATCCAGTCTCCCAGGAGCAAACATCTGGTGCTTATTACTGGGTACAGGCACATTGAATTTGTAGCATAGAAATGTGTCTTAAACACAATTCTAAAATGTTTTCATCATTTATATTTTAGATAGATTATGAAGATTTCTATTTTATAATCTTTCCACAAATTGTGTGTGTGCTTGTGTGTGTGCAACAGGTTTTTAAAGAAAATCACCCCCATGGCCTCCTATTTAGTAAAGCAGGGTATAGGTGTGTGTCAACAGTTGAACTATTCTGTGGTTACCCATCACGGGTTATGTCAACATAGTGCGTAAAAATATTATGGAAGAAGAACACGATACAAGTGTGAGACTAATATGTCCTACTCTGCTAGATTATAAAGTTATAAGGAGTATTTATTAAGTTTTACTTATTTTTGTGTACTTTTTGTTTCTCCTGAAACATGCATTGAATGAATGAATGAATCAATCAATCAATCAATGAGTAACAAAGGGAAAAGTTCATTTCCCAGAGGGCATGGTGAGTCTAGTGATTGGAAACATTCTTCTCTTTATGGAGGGCAAATATCTTATTTTGCCACCATTTTGTCTACAAGGCACCTACACTTCCTGTTTGCAAACCAAAATGGGTTGGCAATGAAATTGTCAGAATGCCGTCCAGAGCTGCTGCTCTTGACTTACAGCTAGTGAAGCCCCTCTAAACTCAGTCAAAGTCGGCTTCCTGTCCCAGGAAATTCAAGGAGGAACTGGTACTGGAGTTAGTGGTCCTCAATTGGGTTTACCTCCATTAATCTGGGCCCAAAGAGTTAACAAATTATTATCATAAAAGAAGTAGTGAAATAGTCCTACTGAGTAGAAGGTGCATGTCAATTCATGAAGAGTGATTGATGCTGTGAAAGTTAAATAATTTTTTACTGAAATAAGTATCTCTCTATTTTTAGCTGTTTGAAAGATAATTTATGAAGTCTTCATCTTTACTTCCCTCTCTTTTCATTAGAAAGCATGAGTTTCTGGCCTGTGGCATTTAGCTAATGCTTTCATTTGTCATTCAAGAGTAGAAATTTTGTTGAACACTTTTTTTGAAATCCTAGGTTCAATTTTCCTAAACACTTAGCATTATAATCTGCACATGTCTTTTCAAGTTGATGTAAGGTGTGTGTTAATAATGAATGTTAAAAAAGGAAAAGCTCTACCTCCTTAGAGAAGACTTTTTCTAACTGAGGGAAAGAATGTCTGTGCTTCAGCAAGGGAGTGCCCTGTGCCCTGTGGCATAGCTCTTACATTACAGGCTTTTAATGGTTTTCGGAAGAGTTATGATTTTTCGTGATTATTAAGGAAATATGTGAAAATAATAGAAATGTAGAAATGGAAATAAAAATATAGAAAACCTACATTAAAAAAAATCCTATACAAACCCATACCTCAGAGAAAAATAATTTCAATATTTTAGTATACTTCCTGCCTATCATTTCAATATTTCATTTTGAGATTAAACTATGCAATGTACACAGTTCTCTCCTGATTGTTTCACACAAGATTATATTGAAAGTCTTTGGGTCATTCATTTGAACCTAATTGGAAACATACTTTAGAAATGAGTATGCTATTTAGCTAGTAAATAACCACCTATTAAACCTGTCCTTGGTTTTTTTAATATTTATGTTGAAGGTAAGTTCTAAATACTTTTGATCATGATTTCATATTTCAGAATGCATTTCTAAAAATAGAACTACTGAATCAAAGGCCATGGACATTTTTAAGGTCCTTGATACATATTTTTAAAATAATAATCAGAAAGACTGTACTAATTTATATTTCAAATAGCATAGTCTAAGAGTCCATCTCATCCTATTACTTCACCTCAAACAATTTTAATCCTCAAAAATTATAAAAAGAAAAATTCACCATATACTATCTTACCATTATTTGATTATCAATGGATTGGATTTTCTTGTGTTTTATTAGCCATGTATATTCCCTCTTTAGTCAAGTCTGTTAATGTCTTTGCCCATTTTTATTGTCATTGGGTGTGTGTGCACACTTATACCTGGGCGTGTGTTTGTAGGTGTGTGCCTGTTTCATATTCTCTGCCTTGATTATTGTGTTTTTAATGACCAAAAATATTTACATTTTATGCCCTCAAATCTAAAATATTTTATTTTGTAATCTTTGCTTTTAGCTTCTAAGCCTAGCTAAATCCATAACTTGTAGTCATAAATTTGCCCCTAACTACTTCACTTTCTTCATCCTTTCTCTCTATTATTTTCCTACTTCTTCATTCTTTTCCTTTCGTTTATCTCATCGTGAAATTTGTGTGAAATCCACCTGGAATTTTGGAAGTGGATTGTGAGGGCACTTATGATAAATTTCACATTTTGTAAGTTGCATTAAGTTAGAAACATTCATTTTTATTAGTTAAGGATTTTTAGTAAATTATATGACAATTTTAAAATAAATTTCCAAAATTTTACATTTTATCCATAGAAAATATTATCTGGATTTTTCATTTAATTTTATAATTCTAAAGTCCATAACTGTGATAGTACATAATATAAAACATGCAGTTTTTAAATTTTTCCTAAAAATTTAGGCAGTAAAAAATAATCGAAATATGTTTTTGAGTTGCGTTCTTTCACCAATGCTTTCCCTTGATTTGTAATGCAATGTTATCATATATTAAATTCTTACAGATAGTTTTGGGGACTCAACTTTGCCACACAATGTCTTATGTTCTTTTACCAGATCAACACTAATAAAAGTAGTAGTTATTAGAGGTTAATTGTGTTTTAATATTTAGTGGTAAAATTTCTCTCATTAATCTCTCTTTTTTTTCAAATATTTCTTACTGCCCATAACGTTTCATTTTCAAATATCCTTTACTATCCATAATGTTTCATGCATCTATCCATGTTTTTATATATCTCGTGTTGCATAATTTTAGGTAGAATGTCTTTATTGTCAACATTCCTCTAATAAGTTTACTGAAATAAATCTATGTATTTGAAAGGGTGCAAATGTGATAAGAAAATCAAGTTTTTACCATACAGGTTTTTTTCAGATTTATTAAAAACTGTATAACTATTTTCACTTAGTGGTTTGTTTTTGAATACTGGCTCATAAATAGATATTTTCTTAATCTTGTTATTTCTGTCTACTTAACAGTTGTTTTAAAGAATGTAAAAACAATTTCCTGAATACACATTTTTGACACATAAAAAGATTCTCTTTTTGTATTATACATTCTATATTTTTTCTTATTATTTTGTCCCCACGTACATATATTGTTAGATACTGAATTAACTTAATATTTAAATATTCTTATTAAACAAAAACCACATGCTAGATCATATTACATACTATAAACACTATTAACCAAGAAAACTTTTCTTTAAACAGAGGCAGCTCTAATTTAGACTGTCTTTCTGTAAAGAGGATTTCACTCAAAGCTTCTCTCTTTTTGAAGTAATATAAGAAAATTGACCACTGAGAATATAGTTGTTTTTTAGAATTTCATGTGATAAAATTCAGAGTCCCAAATTAAAATTATACCAGTAGATCTAGAGAATTTTTAAAGAGGCCAAACTTCAAAATGATATTTTATCCAAATAGGTAACAACAGTGAACAGTCAGACTCAGAGAGAGAGGAATAAAAATATCCACATTGCTCGAGAGCTGTCTATAAATCACACAATAGTAATTATATTTAGCCTCCACAAAGAGCTCCTTTTAAAGAAAAATGACTCTCTCATAGTTGGCTTTGCCCTAGAATGATATCTAGCAGATATCTATTTTAAAGTTCAAAGTCTAACTATTCAGTAATATGTCATTATTTCTTTCCACATTATTGTGTGTCTTTTCACTGTTTGCTTTGACTACATAATTCCACTATGACTCATTCTAACATTAGATCACACTGTAGGTCTTTATACTTATTTCATTGCAGAGGTGATTCACAAATTTAAACAAGCTATGTGCACGTAGATCAACATTTTCAAATATGTAAATGTCTGTCCTTAATAGATGATAAATCCTCAAATACACTGTGCTAACACAAGACCTTGCTTCAATTTAACATTTTCAAACATGACATCCCCATACAGCCATGGAAATACTTCAGCTATGGATCAGGAAAGTAAAAATTTAAGCCATTTATTTTTCAACTGCCTTATATTTCCCAAGTTCAAAAGTACATTGCCAGATTAACCAACCTTGACTTTTGAGATACGTTCAATTTAGCCATCCTGAGAGTAGTCGATTGTGAGGGCACTTATGATAAAATATTTCACATTTTGTAAGTTGCATTAAGTTAGAAACATTCACTTTTATTATTGGTTTTTAGTAAATTATATGAGAATTTTAAAATAAATTTCCAAAATTTTACATTTTCATGCATAGAAAACATTATCTGGATTTTTAATTTAATTTTGTAATTCTAAGTTCATAATTGTGATACTATATAATATAAAATATATACTTTTTAAATTATTTCTAATATATTTTAAATGAAACTCTTCAATAATTGAAGAAAGATTTGAAGATAATAAACTAGAGGGTAATAATTTATATGAATCCTAAACATCTGACAACACTGCTTTAGCCGAATTTAACGATATATCTTAACCCAGTCCAAAAGTTGTTGAGTTCAAACACAGGATATGAATCTTAAAAATAATAAATAGTAAAGAAATTCATAAAGAATCATTTTTATTAAATTTTTTTGATGTCCTTTACTGTTTAAAATTAACATATTTTGTTTATTTTTAAAGATGTTATCTTTTATTTAAGAATAACTATAGTGTTGGCAGTTAAAAATCACAGGTTTCTGCTCAAAATACTACTTTTATATTTGGGGTAGATATTCAAATATCCGGGTTTTATTCTGAGCTGTTTAACAAATGTATAAGCATACAAATAGTATGTTACAGTCAACCGCAGTATTAAGAAATAGTTTGTGTAAAGCAGACAGTAGGGAGTATGTAAGTAAGTTGTGTTTAACCATTGGAATTGGAAACATAATTTTAAATCATAGAAACATGGAATAAAGCATTATGTAAGAATCTTCACACAATTTCAAAAAGGACCAGTATTCTATTCATTTGAAAGCCCATTTACGGGGAAAATTTTGAGGAATACTTGTTTTCCATTATTAAATAAAACACAGCTTCTAAACAGGGTGGAAAATACCATACAGAGTTGCCATATGAGAAACAGCTTAATTGCAAATCAGCGCCTTCCTTTCCAAGAATACTTTTGTTACCCCGACACCAGGGTTGTGCTGTAGGTCAGTTGCTTGCCACACAGAAAGCCAATCACTGAGACAATGAGTATTGCCAGGGAAGAGGGCTATAATCAGGTGCAGCATCCAAGGAGAACAGATCACACTCAAATCTGTCTCCTCAACCAACTAAAATTGGAGATTTATATAGCAAAGAAGAAATGTACTACCTGCAGAAAAACAGCAATTAGGGAGGGGTAAGGACGAGTAGTTGGTCAGCAGGCAACGTGTGATTCGTTTGGCAATCAAGATGAGTGAGGAGGCTGTGGTCTCATTCTCCAGATGGAATGATCTGGTGAATTTCAGTTTCTTTATATCATCAGTGGGCCTAAAGGTTGGTTTCCTGAGAAAGAAACTCAGATAAGACAAATGTAAGCTTCTCGAGTTTTAAGACTGGGAGTGTCCATTTCTATGTTTCTTTTAAAAAATGTAAACATCAGTTCCATGGGACAATTGGGTAAGTTTCATATTGACTATCAAAGTGGAGCTAATATATGAAAAAAACTGTGCGGGGTCGAATTTTTAAAAAATCTACACTTTTTATTAACCAGTTGTCTACACCACTACTGCCAATAGAAATATAGCAAGACATATACAAATAGTTTTAAATGGTCTAGTAATGACATTAAAAAAATTAAACCAACTAAATTAACTCTATTATTTAAACAATATATTCAAAAATTATCATTTGCGTGTGTAATTAATATAAAAATTATGAATGAAATATGTTTTATTCCTCTATTCACACTACATCTTTGAAATCTGGTGTGTATTTTAAATGTACAATACACCTCAATTAATCTTTGGCATTTTCAAAGTGAAATTTGAGAAAAATTTAAATAATTATTCATTGATTCATTTTAAAGTGATAATAATAATAAACCCATAGCCTGTTAACACATTTATTAATAAAAGTTACCATATTTTCAAATTATTTAAAAGTGGAAAAGAGGCATTGCTTTAAATTTTGAGAAATGTCTTTAATGTCACTCACATCTTAAGAGCTTGTACTTGCCTGAAGCTCATGGCTACTTTATTGGAAGCTCATTATCTAAATCATAATCACCATTCATTTCAGGTTCAGTAGGACTCATCATCTTTCCTAAAAGCATTAAAGATTCACTTCTCTACATTTTGTATTTTTACATCACCTATTATTTGTAAATGCTGATCCCACTAATACATCTGTATGAATGAGAAGAAAACCAAGTCATTTAGCCAATGATTCCAGGAACTTTCTGCACATGTACTGGCTGATAAAATTGCTTCTAATGGCATTGCAAGCTGACATTGTTTCTCAGTTTTGTGCTTAGCAATTTAGAGACATTACTGAATTTTTTGTAAGTATTAGTTTGAAGTTTCTGTTGTATATACTGTTATAAAGAAAATAGACCTTAAGAGTGATTTTTTAGAAAAACAAATTTATTGTTTATTTACTTAGGTAATTTCAAAAAACTATTATGATGTCTACCATCATGGAACTAATAAACCAATAGATCACAATATTAACTTTCTTAGATGGGTTGACCTTAGGTATATTGTTATAGATCATATATATCAGTATGAAAAACAGAGGTGATGAAAAGTCTACATGACAATATTATTGTGAAGACCATGTAATTATTGGGCACAAAAAATTTGAATGAGTGCTTCCTCGTACCTATTAATAAGAGCTAATACTAAATGCTGAAACAATTCATGAGCTATTCTGTATTTGCAATGGCAAAGTAGCACTTAATACTCATGATGGACTCAAGAATATCAGATCACAGATGCGTTCAGGGTCAGATTTTCATGAAACAAAAACAATATTACTTATAGCCATGTTTGTGTGGTTGCCACTTTACGCTGGTGCGTTGCAAAGTTTGTGGCACTTAGATGACATTTGTTAAATATTTGCTTAAGCAAATGAAAAAAATGGCTGTTCAAGAATAGCAATTGTTTTCTCAACCCTGTAAGTCACAGCACATTTCTTGGGTATATAAAGTTACATACTGAGGTGCCCTGGAATGTTACAAAGAAGAAAAAAATTTTGTTTTCTCACTATTTGGGAAATAACAGTCTATATTTAATGGATTTTTAAAATAGATAACCATATTTATAAACTACGTATTACTACCAGGTCAATACTCTTCTGAAGACCTTTGATATATTTTAGGGATGAAGATTTCCAATTTTGAGTACAGTTGGTACATGTGTGTGGTTGTCATATAACAATATGAGAAAATGCCATTTAAAAGTTTAGGTCAAGAGGCCAAGGTTTTTAAAAAATCTTAATTAGAAATGATTTCTCCAGGGAAAAACTCAATTAGCATTGAAGCATCTTACTCAAACTTTTAAAGTTCACTCATAAACAAATTTTTGCCATTTGGAAAGAATAAGGTGAAAAAAATCAAGAGAAAACCAGCCATTTATTAATATATAATGTGCCTTCCAGGGAATCATAAAACGTAGTGGAAGAGTAAAACAAAATGAATACTACACATTTTAAACCCATTTGAAGTTTTTTTTATTATTTTTAAGAGAGGACTCTCAACAATTGCCTGCCTTTGTTGTATGTAAGTATAGACCATTTAAGTCTTTATTCCACCTAAGATATTGATAGGGTAACACTACTGTCACCTTCTGGAACCAGTCAGCTTATGGCTGAGCTGAGGGGCTTTTTGGACTGATATAAATATTTATTTAAAGATGACATAAGTGAACACGTGTATTAAGCGTTAGGTATGAAATCCCTTTTATTTTAAAATAAAACCATGCTTACACAATAAAATGAAAGGATTTTGACATTCGTCCCAATCATTTTGGCCAACCAATCGGTATCACTCATGTTTGGGAATTTACTCATGGGTATTGAAGGAACTAAGTCAACAAGATATTCTACACCAAAATGACAACATTGGGTTCAAATGTTGTATTTTCAAAAAAAAAAAAAAACTCATAAAGCTCATGTGGTGAGTTCATCTCTCTGATCTGTAATAATCGTTCTGGAAATTTTGGTCTCAGGACCCCTTTACATTTTAAAGAATTTTCGAGAACCCTAAGGAGCTTTTGGTTAAGTAGGTTATATCCATAAATCCTTAGCATATTCAGGGTTAAATTGAAACAATTTAAATGATTATTTATTGATTCATTTAAAAATAATAATAATAAACCCATACCCTGTTAACAATTTATTAATGAGTTGCTATCTTTTCTATATTTTTTAGAAGTGGAAAATATGCATTGCCATACATTTTGAAAAATGTCTTTAATGTCTGATTTACAGAGCATAGCTGGGTTCTTTGAATACTTCTATGTGCTTCTGCATACATGCTATTGAAATATGTTGTATTGGATGAAGTATATAAAAAATTTTAGCATCACACAGAGATGTATGTGGAAAAGAAGGGTATTATAATAGCCTTTTCAGATAACTGTGGTTATCCTCAGGTGATACCATACCAAAATTTGAACAGCGGTAATTTCTTAAAAGCATCAATGTGAAAATTGTAATGTAGAATCTGAAAACTTATCAGTGAATGTTCTGTACCCTGGTACATTAATATCCATGAGTTTATGTCCCACCTTCAATGGATCTTTTACCTATGTATGATGTCATAACATCATGCATGATGTCACTTGGAAATTACTAGATTTTTTTAGTTTTTCGATTCCTCCAAATTTGACATATTTAAATATATCGTATCAAAAATTCACACTTACACCATCACCACTGATATCATAAGAGAAATAGGTAGCTACTAGGAAGCTTCAAGATCACAATAGTGGTTCCATGTTTTCCAAAATTCTGTCACTTGAAAGCTCAAATTTATTGGCAACAAATAGTATCTGTTGTTTTCCTTGAAGTGACAGGATCAGTTTATTCTGTTTAAGAAAATGTCTACTAAATACCCATGTCTGAATAACCTAAGATTTCTTGTTAGCTATTTTTTCAATTGAAAATTATTTTCCATGAAAAAGTAACAAAATCAACTCACAACTGTATCTCACAAGTGCTGTTCCTTAAAATAATCATCATACTTTGACTTCCAGAAGCTAAGTATGCATATTTCCCAGCTATCACAAGGAATGTTTAAAAGATGTGTACTGAAGGGTCGATATTGTAAGTTAATTTATTTTAGTGCTGTTTCTTAAATAAAGTCAACACTTGATTCCTTTTAATGTTCTAATGGATAAAAATAAAACTCGCTGCTGACGTAGTTTCATGCCGCTGCTCATATCTGTGCTCAGCCATCCGTAGTTTTCTCCACTATGGCTTGTGCACCATCAGTGCAACACAAAAGGCAAACGAGGTCTCAGTGTAATTCTGAAAAACATTTTGGTCTCGCAGAACTCCTGCAAGATCTCAGGGAGAGAACATATTGAGACCCACAGCCCTGTATATTTCCACTAAGCAGGGATCCAGCTTCACCTTGAACAACTTAAGCCAAGATATCCTTGCTTGGCACAGCAATGATAGTCTCCCTTAATGAAGTTGAAATCCATCTCCCTATAACTTTCACTAGTAAATCCTACCTACTCCAACCTCTTGGGGAAGCACAGAAAAAAACTAACCCCTCTTCCGTATGTCAGCCTCTCCACTATTTGAAGATAGTTTTCATGAATTCCCAGATCTGGGCTTCCCCAGGTTCAATATTCTTTTATTCATCAACATTTCCACATAGGAATTAAATTTTAACTCGTGTGCACATCCTTGCTACTGATATAGTTCAGTGTATTATGAACCATCTCACTGTTTATTTTTAACTTTATTTTCAAAGATGTCAGATCTTCATTACAATCTGGTGGTGCTCCTTGCCCAGTATGAATGTCTTGCTTTTATATTTTATGGCACTACCTCTTAGCCAAATATTAAAAAATTAACACAACTGATAAAATCCTAGCAAGAAATAACACAGAAAACACAAATTAAAAATATCAAGAATCGGCTGGGCATGGTGGCTTACACCTGTAATCCCAGCACTTTGGAAGGCCGAGGTGGAAGGATCACCTGAGGTCACGAGTTTGAGACCAGCCTGGCCAACATGGTGAAACCCCATCTCTACTAATAATACAAAAAATAGCCAGGTGTGGTGGTGGGTGCCTGTAGTCCCAGTAACTCTGGAGGCTGAGGCACGAGAATCACTTGAACCCAAGAGGCAGAGGTTGCAGTAAGCCAAGATCACGCCACTGCACTCCAGCCTGGGCAACAGAGCAAGACTCTGTTTCAAATAAAAAAAAATCAAGAATCACAAAAGGCTGATTACAAATCCCACATACATAAAAACATCACATTATGACAAATATTGAAAAAAATACATTATAAGTTTGATTAAAAAATACAAATTTACCAAAACTGAGACTAGAAAGAGAACCTTAAAATTATTGTTTAGCTATTAAACAAATTGATTCTGTAATTGATTAAATGTAATTGAAACTATGCCAAAAGAGAAAATCTGGGCATAAATGACTTTGCTGAGAAACTCTTCTAAGCATTTAGGAAATAACTGAAAACAATGTTTCATAAACTCATCCAGAAAATAATTAAAAAGGAGCACCTTCAAACTTATGTTTTGAGGCCAGCGTACCTCTGGTAGATTGCACTAAAGTTCTTCATTTTCCACCTCTCCCTGTCTCCACGCCCATTCCTAGTTTCCTCCCACATAGATTCTGGGTTGGCTATGAGACTTGCTTTTGCCTGTGGGACAGCAAAAAACATGCTGCAAGAAGAGACTTGACAACATGCACACTCTTTCTGAGAACCCAGGCACACTATTTCTGAGAACCAGGAGAACAGGCTGGACCAGCCCCTGGAGGATGAGATGGGTGGAGAAAAACTGGGTTGTCTCAGCTGGGAATATTCTAGGCCAGCCAGCTCCCAGCCTGCTCATGAGCTGGCCACAGGTGAATAAGTGCCCAGCTGAGATTGGCCAGTTCTAGTTCAGAGCAGCAGAATTTCCCAGACAACCCGTAGACGCCTGAGACAAATATAAATTCAGTGGTTGACCATGTGCCCCACCACGTTGCAACACAACATGGAGAACGACCTATTGAAGACTCAGCTAAGTCATTAGCTGGGAGACGGCACCTTCATTGTTAAGGCACTGCCCTGCAAGGTCACAGTAAAGCATGAAACCGGAAGGCAATGTTTGGTGCCACCTCTTAGTCATACCTGAGGTCAATAGGTCTAGGAACCAAGGAAACAATGATAAATTTTGAAAAAAAAAATTTTGCTTCCCTTTCCCATGATCTTGGGTTCAGGAGGTTTGGGGGTCTGACTGGCAGAAGGCACAGGCCTTGTCCAGTGACACACTTCTACACTGCAGCCCTTTTCTGGGCTCTGGAAACCACCTCTTTTTGCCCCATGAGGCAGGGCAGTGGCAATAACTCCCTGAGAGTCCTGGCTTCTGTTCCTCCTGTGTCTCCTGTTTGTTTCCCTTAGCTCCACCCCGAACTTTGCAAAGTTTCCATTGCGAAGTTTCCAGGGTGGAAAATGCTATGTTTTGTGTGGAGCCCTGACCCATACGGTCTGTGAGAATAGCTCTAGGATTTTTAAATCCAGGAAAAGCAAGGCAAGGAGTCTACAAGAGTTTCTGATGTCTTTGAATGACATTTGATTGCCAGATAATGGAAAGAATCTTTTTCCAGATAGAATTGCATCCTATCGGTGAACTTAAAATGGCTGTTATATTTCCGTAGTTTTGCTTTTTGTTTTAACTATTATAACTGTGAATATTCGGAAGTTTCACCTAGTGTATGCTTGTTCACATTACTTGCGCCAAATGTAAGGTTTCTTTCTACTTTGTTTCTTAACTCATTAATCATGGTCAGGCGCAGTGGCTCACGCCTGTAGTCCCAGCACATTGGGAGGCCAACGCAGGCGGATCCCAAGGTCAAGAGATTGAGACCATCCTGGCCAACATGGTGAAACCCCGTCTCTACTAAAAATACAAAAAAATTAGCTGGGCGTGGTGGTGCGCGCCTGCAGTCCCAGCTACTCATGGGGCCGAGGCAGGACAATCGCTTGAACCAGGGAGGTGGAGGTTGCAGTGAGCCAAGTTCCCGCCACTGCACTCAGGCTCAGAGATAGAGCGAGACTCCGTCTCAAATAAATAAATAAATAAATAAATAAATAAAGTGAATAAACAAATAAATAAATAAAAATAACACCCAGGATAAAGAGACCATTTTATTAATATCTCTGTCCCCCAGAACCTAACGTTGTGCCTAAAATTATTTACACAGATGATTGAATAAATGGAATACTTGCTTCCCATAGTTCAAGCTCATGTTGTTAAATTTTAATATAACCTATGTGTCTCCAAGTCCTTTAATCTGGGCTTTCCTTCTTATTTAATATCACACACACACACACACACACACACACACCTGCATAAGCCCCCACCTATTATGGAAAATTTAATATAGACTGTAGAGATTCTCATAGTCATCTTTGATTTATATTTTTTTCTTCCTCCTTCCCTCCCTGCCTCCTTTCTTTTTCCTTCCTTCCTTCCTTTTTTCCTTCCCTCCTTGCCTCCTTGCCTTATTCCCTCCTTCCCTCCCTCCCTCTTTCATTCCTTCCTTCCCTCATTCCTTCATTCCTTCTCTCATTCCCTCCCTCCCTCCTTCCTTCCTCTTTCAGTTTGCAGCTGAATTATCTAGCTGCTTATTGTAGCCCATCTTATAAGTAAACCCAAATGTAAGATGTAACCACCTTTTAATAATTTTCCACAATGCCAAAGGCTTGAGGACATTGCGTGCTACACATCTTTACTGAACTTTGCTGTAATGAAACAGTTTGTGTCACAGTTCAACAGTTTCTTATGTGGCCTGCACCTAAAGCCCCAGTCACTTCACAGAGTGTCCTGCTGATGGACCTCCTCCCCAGGGGGCAAAGCCTTTCATCCATTTCTGGGCCCTTTGCTCCCTGCTGCTCTTCAAATATCATATTTTCTTCTTTTAGGACAACTCCACACTTTCTTCTGAACTGGCTCCAGTCAGTGAAAACTCTTGCTCTATTGTTTCAAGTCACTTAGGAAGGAGGTAGCTACATACAATTCCAAACTCAAAACTAGAAACGTTTTCCTCTAAAAGCCACCTGCCTGATAGGAATCACAATATCATCCTGAAAGCCAAAATCAGCTGAAATAAGTTTTTGCGTTCAGTAACATTTTTTTTCTGCTGTGCAATCAGTTTTGAACACGGTTGTGTTTGGCATAATATCTTTCTTTTTTTTTTTGAGATGGAGTCTCGCTGGGTTGCCCAGGCTGGAGTGCAGTGGTGCGATCTCAGCTCACTGCAACCTCTGCCTCCTGGGTTCATGCCATTCTCCTGCCTCGGCCTCCCGAGTAGCTGGGACTACAGGCGCCCACCACCACACTGGGCTAAATTTTTTTGTATTGTTTTTCAGTAGAGACAGGGTTTCACCATGTTAGCCAGGATGGTCTCGATCTCCTGACCTGGTGATCTGCATGCCTCAGCCTCCCAAAGTGCTGGGATTACAGGTGTGAGCCACCGCGCCTGGCCATGTTTGGCATCATATTTTAAATGTTCTTTCTCTCCTCCATTTCTGCCAAGCACTGTAGTGGGGCGGGACAAAGGTGTGTCAGAAAAAGAGCCATGCATCAGGGACTACGGAACAGAAGAGTGGACTTTCTAGGTAGGGACATCTGCTGGCATGTCCAAGGATGGTGTGTGTGTGTGTGTGTGTGTGTGTGCTGTAAAATACGATGGCTTCAAGCAGATAGTGGGATATCTTCAAACAGATCTGTCTCAGCAACATTAACGAGCAAGAAACAAGTTGGACAACACTCTTTAAGATAAAGGTGTTTGTCCGCATGCTCTCACTCATAAGTGGGAGTTGAACAAGGAGAACACATGGACACAGGGAGGGGAACGCCACACACCCGGGCCTGTAAGGGGGTGGGGAGTGAGGGGAGTGAGAGCATTAGGACAAACACTTAATGCATGCGGGGCTTAAAACCTGGATGATGAGTTGGTGGGTGTGGCAAACCACCATGGCACATGTATACCTATGTAACAAACCTGCACATTCTGCACATGTACCCCAGAAGTTAAAGAAAAATTTTTTAAAAAAGAAAACAACATAAAGATGCTTTTTATGAAGAGGGTTACTGGGGTTCTTCAAATAACTTCAAATAACGTATCTGAAAGAAGTTTCTAGCTCTGCCTTAGTATAGTTACAGACTGTCCTTTGTCTTGTATTTA
This sequence comes from Homo sapiens, assembly GCF_000001405.40. Taxonomy (NCBI): domain Eukaryota; kingdom Metazoa; phylum Chordata; class Mammalia; order Primates; family Hominidae; genus Homo; species Homo sapiens. The sequence goes on from NC_000010.11 coordinate 4,736,795, forward strand.
AAGCCCTTGCATGTCAGATTTCTGTTCCAAGTCCCCATCTCAGCCGTCTCAGCCACCTCCTCTTCCTGTGGCATCTAATTACTACTAAATGTTCTTGCCAGAGCAAATGTATCTGCGTTCTCCCTCTATACACAGCATCTAAATGAAATGTACGTTTTTTTATTTGTTTTACGTCAGACAAGGAAAATATTTGTAAGCAAATACAGGGATATGTGGGAGAGTTCTATTGTCCCCCGTATCTCACTGCTGTCTTTTTCTTTTTGATGTAACAGCCTATCTATTCCCAAAATGGGATGCCACTAAACATTTACTTTCTTCTCCTTTTTTTCTGATTTACCTGTGACTCTTCTATTCAGAAACTATTCACCCCTATTATCACCTTATGATCTTAGTTTTAACCAAATTCATAACCCACAAACTATTTCTTGGCTGAGCAGTGAAAACATGCCTTTGGTTGTAATGTATTCAGGACAAATTCCAACCCATAACATGAAATACAGACATCTTAGAAAATGAAATAAGCACCTATACATGCAGCTATTTATATATTTGCCAATTTTATTTGCATTTTTTTTACTTTTTTATGTTCCTGTTTAACCTGTAAATAAAAATTGCTAGGTAGTACAAGCCACACATATATAATAGAGATTTGGAATTGAACCATGAAATTTGTTTGCTATTGGGAATTGAGAATAGCCATAGTGCTTGAAGTTTTGATTCAGTTCATGAAAAGATTTATTTTTTTTAGAGAATAGGTATAGAATCCTAAATGCATGAATGGAGGAGAATATCTATCTGGATATAAGTATTTGTATAAATATATGTATATCATTAGTTCATATTCTTATATAAAATAAATAATACTAACATACCACCTGACTGTAATAGTAATGTAATTGAAATTTATGAATATATTAGTCATTCTGATATATGAATAACAACATCAATAATAAATTGATCAGAATAGACAGTCAGCACTAGCATTTTTCATTTACTTCCTGTAGATTTTATTGCCTAAGTTGTGTCTTACGTTTGAGTTTTCAAGAAAGCCTGTACATCTCACTAGATTGACACTTTAATTGTCTCCTGCTTGGAATCTTGATGAGCTCCCCAGGCCTGTGTCTATAACCAAGTCAGATTAAAGACCTCCTCTTTTAATTTTCAAAAGGTCTCATGACTCTCATCCTAATAAACAATGTTAAAGTAGAAAAGATTAAATATGACAAATGGAATAAATATTACTAACTTTAATTTATAATTCAAAATAATCACGTGGGATGGCATGCAAATGTAAACAACATGCAAATATATACTCTTTGTGTTTTCTATAAAAATTTTCCAATGGAACAAATTAAGAACTGCATGTATAGCTTATTTTGCAGTGTTTATAAAGTGAGACGGCTTTCTAGATCAATATACAATTATTTCTTATTTAGCATGATTTTAAGGTAAAGTAAATTAAGAAACATACATACAACATATATACGTTGATTTCTATTTGTCCTTATTGTTCTTTCCTTTGCCCTGAGTGTCCTAAGACTGCTCAATTATTAAATTTGTTTCCAGATAGTCCTCTTAATCTGTTTTTTTTTTCAGATAAAAAATATACATGTGATTTTTCTGAGCTATGTGCAGCATCTCAGTTTGTACTCTATTTTTAAACAAGAGAAATTGTTCTGCAAGGGACGTTTACATTGTTTTCTTGTTCTTACCTCCCCTCCTCAATAATACTGAGTCTCACGCATAGATTCAAGTTATGCAAAGCTTAGATTAAACTCTTCAGTCAGAAATATTTTTGTTTCAAACTCAATTTACTCAGCAGAAAGAAAATACCCTTTCTCCCTCTCTTCCTCCTTCTCCTTTTTCCTGCTACTCCCTTCTTCCTCCTTCTCCTTTTTCCTGCTACTCCCTTCTTCCTCCTTCTCCTTTTTCCTGCTACTCCCTTCTTCCTCCCCCTCTTTCTCTGCTTCCTCTTCCGCCTCTTCATTCTTCATGAAACTTCAACCATACTGACCTTTGTTCCCTTAACATTGATCATGAACAACTTTCCTTACATTCGATATGTTCTATGATGGCATTTTGAATGGGTGTATCATATTCTGCCACGTGGATGTATCTAATTTATTTAATGCTCCCCTGATATTAAATCTGCTCTAGAATATATATATTATAATATATATGTAATATAATATATATATATATATATATATATATATATATATTTTTTTTTTGAGACAAAGTCTTGCTCTGTTGCCTAGGCTGGAGTGCAGTGGTACGATCACGGCTCACTGTAGCCTCGAACTTCCAGGCTCAGATCATCCTACCACTTCAGCCTTCCGAGCAGCTGAGACTACAAGTGTGTGCCACTATGCCTGGCTAATGTTTTTTATATGTATTTATTTATTTTTTTATTTTGGTAAGAGACAGGGTTTTACCATGTTGTCCAGGCTGGTCTGGAACTCCTGGGCTCAAGTGATCTGCAAAACTGGGCTTCCCAAAGTGCTAGGATTACAGATGTGAGCCACCGTACCCAGCTTGAACTTTCAAAGATGATGACGTTGAATTTATTTAGATAAATAGAATTAAAGAAACAAAAATGTTTTCAATAGTTGCTACGTTTATGTTATCCTTAGAGCTTCCCCAAGCTTGTTTCAATGCCTCCACTCTGTGTCATCATGATATTCAGAAAAGTTTTGCATTAGAAGCAGCACCATTTTTTATTGATGTGTTATAAGTTTATGTCTCTACTATTGTCTCATCCACATCTCACAGTTGTGTTTCATGGCTGCATAGACCTACTCGGGTAACCAAATGCAGTGTTTTTGAGAGTTTAAACATGAGTCGCACCCACACTCATGCACAAGGAGACTATATTCATGGAAGGCTCACCGTGTGATCAAGCCCGTGCAAGGCATAGTTCAAATGCTATGGTCTGAGGGTCATCAGCACTGAGGATAAAAATAACTATAACAATAAAACAATGATGATGATAGCTAACATTATATAACACTACTACATCTCCAAGAGAGCTCTACATACTTTGAACGTAATCATTATTTACTTCGGACAACAATCCATATGACTGTATTGTTTATCATGGTCTCCATTCTGCACTAAGAAAATGAAGGCCAAAAAAAGTCCATGTAATTTTCCTGAGATGATACACACTCGTAATTAAAGGAGCAGGGCTGGATCTCAGGCAGTAAGGCCCTGGGTCTGCACACAATGTTTATAACAGGACTGGGAGCCAGGCAGCATAGTCAAAGAAAATTGAAGAACAGAATCATTTATTATCAAGTGCTAAATTGCTAGACAAAAATAATCAGTGCATTAGCTACTGTATAATGAGGTGTTAATTGTGTGGTAAGGAAAAGAAACTTGGATAAATTGCAATCTTCTCAAACAAAGGAGATTAAGGAATACTCCGTGGAGAATGTGTCAATATGTAGAAAAAAAGACCAAGGTCTTCCCCAGACAGAGGGCAGGAGGAGTAGGACCAATATTGTCTTCATATCACCAATGTCAGTTTTATAGTTTTATATTGCCAATGAGTACTCTGGATGTTGATGTTATTAGTATGGCAGGAAAAACATTTTAAAACAATTGTGGTATTTTGTTTATTTTTATAGATGTAGATTTTAGAACAACTTTAAATTTTTGTGATAGCTGCCAGAAGAGGATTATTGTGGACATTTTAAAAGAATAATTTATAACACAATTCAGAATTCTAGGACAATATAACTTCAGAAAACAGATTAGTGTATATGTGTTAATTGAGCATGACACTTTAAAATAAAATCCAAGCCTGCAGTATGTAACTTGATTCCCTTTCCAGCAAGGGGAATGGCCCGTTGATTCTCATGGAAAAATATGGTCACACTGTCCGTGAACTTGACTCTACATGAACCTCTTAAGGCTTCCAATAGCTCTCAGGCTCTGAGCAGCATCTGATTTGTTAGATGGGGGTCCTCATGCTTCCCTGGATCTTGTATCCACAAAGTACATGTCTTTTCTTCCATACTACAACTTCTAGTCACTTTGTAGGAATAAGTTTTTACCAAAATTTACTTTTGGTTAAGATGTACTGGTAATGGGGAAATATTAAATAACAATCAATATTTCCAGGGAGCTTGCTTTTCATTGTGCAGTGTGCTATTTTGAAAACTTTGACAGACTGAGCATTCTATTTAAGAAAATAATTCTAGTTTATTCTCTGGTACATTAGTCATTTATCACTAATTAGAATCACTTGAAATGAAAAAACAAACACATGAACAACAACAAAATCTTGTGTCTGGTGTGTCCAACCATATGACCATGAGTTATTATGACCCTGATTCTTGTATGCAAATCTGCTAGTATCATTAATCTTGGGAAAATGTTACAACTGCAATTTATTTTTACTAGGAAAAACATCCTAATCTTATATATAACATGAACCTTCACTTAACTAAATTTTAAGTAACTGTGAGAAAGCTCTCACCTATGATCTTAAAGGTCTTGCAAAATGACATCAACTTTAATTTTATAGCAAGTTCAGATTTGCACTTTTGGACGGAGGAGGTGAAGAGGTTTATGTTTTGTGTCCTCCTTAGACAATACAACACAGTCAAACCTGGCAAAGCTAACATGAGTTCTGATTACACTTAAATTCTCCTATCTACTCCATCCTATTTTTATTTTTTAAATGTTTATTTATTTATTTAGAGACAGGGTCTTGCTCTGTCACCTAGGCTGGAGTGCAGTAGTGTGATCATAGTTCATTGAAGCCTCAACTTCCTGGGCTCAAGTGATCCTCCTTCCTCAGTCTCCTGAGTAGCTAGGACTACAGGTACACACCACCATGCCCCTCTGACTTCAAGTCTTCATCCAGTTATCCTGTGGTTCAACTGGAGGAACTGCTTTGTTTCCCCACAAGAAGCATACATATATATATATATATTTTAGAGATGGGGGTCTCACGATATTACCCAGGTTAGTCTCAAATTCCTGGGGCTCAAGCAATCCTTCCTCAGCCACCCAAAGTTCTGGGATTACAGTTATGAGCCACCATACCCAGCTCCTCTCCATTCTGAAGAGAGAGGTTCCTTCATTATACTTTAATCAGTTTATAGTGATATCTTTATTCAAACTTACATAAAGTCTTAGCTTTCTGAATTTTTCAAAACATCTAAGATTAAATTCTTTTTTATTTTGATAAGATAGTTAAGGAGTAAACTTAATAAATGTATCATTTTAATGTATTAATTTTCTTTATGTTTCCAATATCATCAGTCTATATCATTAATATATTCATATAGGCCATATTTATCTCTCTTAGTGCCATGGGTTTGTTGTAAATGCTAATGTAGTTTATTTCCAGATCAGCTTGAGCAGGCTGACGCCGTCTGTCTTTTCATATAAAAGGGAAGATCTCTCATTTTCAGAGATTGATGGTAATCCTACTATGTTGCATACCCCACTTGCCTTTTCACCTTTGTATGTATGTATATATTGACTCAATCTTATTTTAAGAACTCCATTATGATAATTAAGTATGAACCACACTTTGACAATTGTTGTGGATGTAATTCTTATTATGCTTCGCTCTTGACAAGATAAAGCTGTTGATTTAAGTTTTGGCAGATGAGCAAAACTCCTGCAATGATTCCAGCTGGAAGAGTAGAGGGAAGAAAAGCATAATGTCTGTTTGGCTCTAATATTTGTTCGAATGAAATTATAAAGCTGGAATGACCAGAAATATTGTAGTCTGAAAATGTAGAAAATCCACAAAGTTTGTAAATATGCTGGTGATAATGTTTTGAGTGTTTAGTGCCACAAGTAAGAGTTGATCGATAGAATTCTACAATCCTGCCAGTTGATCAATATAATGTCACTGCCTCTCTTGCTGGTAGTGGGTCAATTTTCTGAAATGTGCAATAGAGTAAGTCCTCTTTATTCTATTGTGGCAGCTACAAAGTTTTGTTATAAGTTGAAATAGTTGTAAAGAATGTAATTTTCATATCAGCAAATATGGGAGTTTTAGAAATAAAAAATAAAAATTAGACACATGATCTCAAATTTACGTAGTGAAATCTAAATACCAGAATGGTTCATCTCTCAGATTATCCATTGAAAATATACATGAAAAATCTCAAATGATGTTTCTTGCCTGGAAATAAAGCAGTTCTTCCAGTTGAACCATAGAATAACTGGATAAAGATTTGAAGTCAGACCTCCAACTGTCCTGCAGAGGAATGGAATTATTGTTTGCCTTCTTTATGCCTCCATATAACTCCATCAACACCTGCTTATAGTGATTCTCCATTTTGAGGGAAGAAATGTATTCTTTTTCTCAGTCTTTACAAATATATCAAGGGAATATAATTTCCTTCCAGATACAATATACTTATTTTATAAAGACATAGAGTAAAATGTCAGAGGTGATAAACATATTTCGTTTTAAAGCAGTCTTAAAAAAAGGATTGCATGAAAAAATTGTAGATGTTTCTTATCCTGATAATACTCACTCAACAATTAAGGACAACACATAAGTGCCACAAATGTAAAAGGTCACATAGTAATAAGATCAGCATGATACCTGAAGCACACTGCAGTGTTTTGCCTGTAGCGGTTAAGCATATTTTTCTGATCAGGGTCAGTTATGAGGACACAGAAAGCCAGATTGTCTGCTTTAATTGAGCATCACATGCTTTTAGTACCTGAAGGGCTGGACTATGCAGGCTCTTATGGACTCATCCTTTGAACAGAGGACTTCCATCTGCTGGAAAGCACTTCTTTGTCATTTAAGTCAAGGTCATCTCATGGGCTGGGAAGGATGTGTAGAGTTGGAACCTTGCATCTATCTTGGAGGCAAAGTTTCATAAAACACTTCCCTTTCCCTGTCCTTCAGTGACGCCAACACCAAGGAGATGCCCATCCAAGGCTAGTGATAGGGACATGCACCACTGGTCCTCATGAAGACATGGAGTAGGTGGAGAGGTAGGGCAATGGCCAGCACCACAGAATGGCTGGTGCACAGAGAATGGCACTTGTCACCCTATATCCTGGAATCCTATCTCAGCTTTGACTTTGGCACATGTCAGTCTACCTAAACTGCCTCATCTGTGAGATATGACAAGTTCCTTTCTCAGTTACTTTCTTTTTATTGTTGTTGAGTGGTAAGGATATTTGATAACATGGCATATATAAAATGCCAGTGTGTCAAATAGTGTCCACCCGGATTTCATGTCCACTCAGAATCTCAGAATGTGACTTATTTGGAAATAGGATCTTTGTGGATGTTATTAAAGTAAAGATCAGGATAAGGGCGACTGGAGTGGGGTGAGCCCTAAATCCGGGGAAAGTGCCCGTGTAGGAGACTGGAGGGTCCACAAAGAGACTCAGAGGCACCCTTATGATGCCGGACCCAGAGATGGGTGCGATGCTGCCAGATGCCAAGACACAGGAGGCAGCAAAAGCTGGGTGAGGCAGGAAGGAGGCTCCCTAGAGCCCTGAGAGGAAGCATAGCTCTGCCAACAGCTTGATTTTGGACTATCCAGCCCCCAGAACGGTGAGAAAATAAATGTCTATTGTTTCAAGCCATGAAGTTTGTGGTAATTTGTATGGCAGCTCTGGGAAGACTAAGTTTAATTAAGTATTGCTATGATTAATATGAATCTCATTGGACTTCTTTATTATGTCCTGTCAAGACTTACGAAGGTGAGCAGGAGGCTGGTGTAGACCTTCCTCGGATTTGAAAACTTTAGATCATCAACTGGGAGAAAGAATTCCTAAATTACTAATTGACTGAATCAAATGTACTTTTTCAAAAAATCTTAACATTTTTGCTACCTCCTGCTTGTGGTTTGCCTCATGATGTTCCTTCTTTCACTGCTAATAATTTTCTTTTTCGCCATGAATGGGTGATCACCACAAAAGACTGGATTAGACTGACTCTCCTGCTAGAACAAATAAGAGAGCATGACTGAATTTTTAGCCAAAAGACAATTCGGAATCACCTTATTTGATGGAAATTTTTGCCTGTTTTTAACACCAAAAATAAATTTAAAACTATAATATAAAGTTTTGTTATAAGTTGAAATAGTTGTAAATAATGTAATTTTCATATCAGCAAATATGGGAGTTTTAGAAATAAAAAGAGGTCGACTAAAAATTAGACATGTGATCTTAAATTTACGTAGTGAAATCTAAATACCAGAATGATTTTATCTCTCAGATCATCCATTGAAAATATACATGAAAAAGCTCGAATAACAGTTGGCATTTCTACATCATTTTCTTCTCCTTGAATATAAACATTATTCCATTTCTTCCATATAATTTTATGTTAATGTAAATGTTTCTATGCTTCAAAGTGCTTTGCTCATCACCATATTATTTTGCTGATATAAAAATATGGATCTAAATGTCTGTGACCACAAGACTCTAAGGGTTAAGAACTTCTTCTAGACTTATTTTTCATTAAATCTTTTAATTTTTTTATTTCCATAGGTTATTGGGAAACAGCTGGTGTTTGGTTACATGAGCAAGTTCTTTAGTGGTGGTTTGTGAGATTTTGGTGCACCCATCACCTGAGCAGTATACACTGCACACAATTTGTAGTATTTTATCCCTCACTCCCTTCCTACTCTTTTCCCTTGAGTCCTCAAAGCCCATTGTGTCAGTCATATGCCTTTGCATCTCATAGCTTAGCTCCCACTTATGAGTGAGAATATATGATGTTTGGTTTTCTTTTCATGAGTTACTTCATTTATAATAGCCTCCAATCTCATCCAGGTTGCTGCGAATGCCATTAATTCATTCCTTTTTTTAATTGATACAGAATTAAACAAACAGCATAAATATTATAGTCAAAAAACATAAACACATAGACACAGCAATAATCAAAAAACATAAATATAAATGCAACATAAGTAGCTGAATTAATCACACAATATAAATACTAATGTAGGGGGACTTCTGGAACTGTGCTGGCCCGTGACCCTTCAAGGATGCCTCCAGTGGGAGTGAGGCTGCTTGCTCGGCCAGGGGTTATTCCTGGAGACAGACTTTGCTGTGATCAGTCAGCATCCACTGTCCTGACACTCCTGCAAATGGGTCATTCAGTCCTTGAGGATGATCCTGGCAATGTGACCCGGCATCACTGCACACAGCACCCTCATGCATCGATGCATGAAAGCATTTAGAACAGCACTCCACATGCCACGTTTAATAAATTAATAAATTATTAACATCAATAATGAGCTCTGCTTTGAAACTCCATACTCTCAAACTGTTCCGCCATTTCTCCTATAACCAAGTCTATTTATGGACAGAGAGAAAAGTACTCTATATAAAGACCCAGTGTAGAGACTGCTTTATCAAAAAGAAGCAAGTCCTAGAAAAAAGGACTTAAAATCCTGAAAACCTCCCTGTCTCTTGTTATCAGTTATTATCCAATCTCTGGAAATATGACAAGAAACTAATGTGCAATGTAAACATATTGTAAACGTATTCTTCCCATCACTAGGCTGAATAAAATATAATATAAAACTATCAAGTAAGACAAGAAGACATCTAGCATTAGTAAGGTCTAAAGATGAAAGTACTGGGCACATAAAGAAAAAGAGGACCTAAATAACAGCCTAATGCATTTGAATAGCCAAACTGATATTTTTATGCTCTTAAAAAAATACAAATCCACTTATTAGGTTTTATTACTTGTTAACATATCTTGTAAATCACACATTTTCCATGGTATAATTTTTATTTTTTTAAGTTGAACATTAAATGAAGACCACATCTCTTACCCAGAGAAAGCATTTTTGTAATCTCTTATTAAATATCCCCTCCTCCTTCTATTCTGGTTCACTTCTCTTCTGCCAAAATTCATATGCTGTAAGCCCAAAGCACATGAGTATTTGGTGAAAATTAAAGTTTTCCAAATTCTACGTAAGCATCTCTGATATTTCTGTAAAAATACATGAAAATGTCAAATAAACTCTTAAATATATGTTTAATGTCAAATATATGTATATATTTTAAGAATAATATTTGTTACTCAAATTATTTTTCTTGAATTACATAGAATATTTCTTCAAAAGTAGGTTAAAGATGTTAAAATACACTATTGTTTATTAAATGTGTTTGCATAAATCTGCCTCTTACTGACAGAAAGTTACTCTGAGAAGATAAATATAGAACTTAAATCATTGAACTATTGCTTGTATTCAATAAATAATATACCTTATTTTAAACATGACCATATTCTTTGACTAATAGTTTATACTATAAAAGCTACTAAGTAAAAAAATGAACATCTAAACTAAGAGGTACCAAGTAAAAAAATAAATATCTGAGCTAAGAGGTATTTTTCAGCTAGAGCTTAAAAATAAGTCTGTATTATAGTAAAACATTAAAAATCTATATAAAAATAATAATTACATGAAATTTCCTTTTTAAGAGGGGTAAGATATAAATACTAATGAGGTTAGTTAAAATTTTAGAAATGTTTGAGCGTGAAAAAAGTAGTCAAATAATTTACTTCTAAATTCTACAGGAAAGTTTAGAACTTGTATTTGTGTGAGAATTGGAAAACTCAATGAGACTTGATTTCTGATTTAAAATATTCAGAATATAAGGAAATGGATAGCATGAGCTATTACATTCTAAATGTTTCAAAAGCCAATATATATTTGTATTTTAAGAAACAAGAGCTAATATACTTCTTACATTTTATTATATGCAAATATATTGAGTTCATTTTTATAGCCTAACTTTAAAATAGTGAACTTAATTACAGTGCCTAAAATACAATTATATGTCTTTTCAAATAAATTAAAATTATAATTATTTCACGTCCCCCTTTAACAAAATTATTCTAAATCCTGAAAAGGAACTCAAAAAGTAAAGATAATCTTATTGACATGTTCACATATGTTCATATTTTAGCTTACTGGATTGGATTTCCCTGAATAATTAATGAAATTGACATTAATTGATATTTTCCCAAAGCCACTTTTAGTAGGTTTTCCAGATACCACTGTTTCCAGATTTCAAGTTTTTGATCAGACAGCTGAGCTGAAGGCAGATAGTTCTGGTTTCTTTAGCTCATTTTACTAAGAGGCTTAGTATCAACATACGGTCATGTCCATGATGGTAGGTTGGTCATTATCATCATCATGCATCAATCACGTTTTATGATCTGCTCCTCTGCGTGAGCTTGCAGTGCAGTAGAGTGGTATGAATGCATGTCCTTGTCCAGAGATGTTAGATTTGACCATGCAACTTGCTTTAACAATGGAATGAGGTGTATACAAAAATCTTTAAACTTGTGTGCAAGTCTATCGAGCCATCTTGCACTCATATGAACTGTCATGAAAAGAAGATACACAAAGTAGTCAATGACCCTCGAAGGAGGAGGAGACATGTGGACCAGACTTGAACTGCACCAGCATCCTGAAGCCTCTAGTCCAAATTCTGGAGTTCAGCTTAGCCAGGTAAGTTGCAAATAACCTGTAATCCCATGAGAAAGAAATACAGGCTCTTGGTTTTCTGTCTTTGTGACTTTTTCCACAGCAATATTGCAACAAGAGCTGACGAAAACACCCATACCAGATTATTTTACGCTTCAGAAAAATTAACATGAGTATTCAGATTTTTACAAAACGGTAATAAACCCTTACTTTTATTTGTATACGCATTTCTAGTTAGTTCTCAAGAAAATTTGTACTCCATTTGTCTTTATGTATTTGTTTGCTTGCTTTCTGCAGGGAATCAATAATTGGCAATCACAGCTTCAAGAAATACGTTATTTAGAGGTTTCTTCCAAAATATTTAGAGACAGGTAGTTTTTCTTGGGCATTTCTGTAAAGGTTCTTTATCAGCTCAAACATTCTGCTTCCTCCAGTATGATTTGGTTGGTAAAGGCAGCATGTGCAAGTGTTGTGGGTAGAGATATATATCATGTGCATGACTTTTGAAATCATTCAAAATTGTCTTTAAATTGCTGCTCTGCCCTTCTTAGCACATAACACTGAATAAATTATTCATCCTGCTTCAGCCTTAGTCTTCACATTGTTAAATGGGGATAGTAAATCCTAATTCCCCTGACTGATGTAAGAGTGAAGTAAGGCAATGCCAACGCCTCGAGTAATGCACATCTGCTTCCCTAGAAACACTCATTATGTGTCAGGTATTCTGATTAGCAGAGGTATTGTTCTAAAAATTACTATTTAATAGAATTTTAAATATGTCACTGACTATGAGGGAGTAATTTTTATGGTCTGGTCTCACAAACACACACCAAACTAGACCATATCTATGAAGCAACTGTTTTCAGGCATTGGACAAGAATATGCAGCATAAGAATATGACCACAGGGACAAAGGAAGCTCACGATTCTCCTGGCTCTCTGTGGGGGACCAATTCCTGAACAGCAGTACAGGAAGTTGGCCCCCATGCAGAGAATGGCAACTCCAGGGAGGTGAGAAGGCAGGGGTCAGTGTCTGGGTGGTTTGGGAGTCTGTGGGGCAGAAGAAGAGGGTGTCATGGAGATTGCAAGCATCCCTTTGGGGACACGTCATGAGCTTGGGCTGCATATGCTTATGCAGCTATGACTGCTCCCATCTTAACATAAACCTGCTTAAGGGTTTATGTTAAGGGGCGATTAAGCGGAGGACAGAGATAGGAGAGTCCTGCTGAAGGACATTGGGAGTCCAGCCTGCTATGATGGAGAGACGTTAAAGATACCTCATCAACAGCATTCAGGCACAGAGCTGAGTCCCCAGATGTCTCATTTTGGGCATAGAAGCCACCCCCTAGAGTAACTCCTACTGTGGCCCCACCTTCACAAAGCCTAAAACATCATCTGTCACAAAAAAATCCTTAGAGAAGGGAGATTTCGGAGGTTCAGGGAAATGAATTGGTCTTTCCATAGATCAGCCCTGACAAAGCATAAAACCAAGTCTAGGTTTAGCATGGTGGCTCATGCCTGTAATCCTAGCATTTTGGGGGGCTGGGATGGAAAGATCTCTTAAGCCCAGGGGTTCTAGATTAACGTGAGCAACATAATAAGACTCCATCTCTATCGAAAACAAAACGTGATCTGGGTTTTATGGTGTGTGCCTGTGGCCCTAGCTACTCAGGAGGCTGAGACAGAAGGATCACTTGAACCTGGTAGTTTAAGGCTGCAGTGAACTATGAGGACACCAATGCACTCCAGCCTAGGGAGCACAGCAAGACTTTATCTCTAAATAAATAAGTAATTTTAAGAAAATACAATTTTTAAAAAAGCAATTCTATACAAGTTCAAAGTCATCAGCAGTAACTGTATTGCCTGCTAATAAAAAATCAACACTTTTCAGAGGATGAGAACAGAATTCAGAGGTTGTACAATGTGTCATCTACAATGTCCCAGGACACGATAACAAAAAAAAATGAGATATACAAAAAATAAGTAAATATGACCCATGGTGAAAAACAGTCCGTTAGAAATATATCCCTTTTATGGCACAGATGTTGGATTTAGCAAGCTATTGTAATTATATTGAAATAATTAAAGGAAGATATGATCTTAATGAATGAATAGAGACACAGCCTCAGTGAAGATACGGAAAGCATGGCAGAAACCAAATGAAAAGTTCCAGCATTGAAAAGGCTATTCCTGAACCAAAAAATCTACTGCATAAGCTTGGCAGAGTAAAAGAGTCAGTAAATCAAAGGTGTTGATAGATATTATTGCATCTGAAGTACAAAGGAGAAAAATAAATCCTTGAAGAAAAACGAGCAGAGTCTCCTGGTCCCACGAGAGAATACCAAGCAGATTAGCATCCATGTATAGTATAATATATGCTACAACCTAATACATGTATGCTAATATTTTGAGTTCCAGAAGGACCGTGAGGATAGGAGAGGAAAAGTATTTGAAGAAAGAATAGTTGTAAAATCCCCAGGTTTTAATAAAACTTCAACTTACACACCAAAGCAGAATAAATAAAAAGAAAAGCAGATGTAACACTGTCCAAGATAAAGATGAAATCTTAAAAGCAACCAGAGCAAAATGATGTATTACAAAAAAAGAGAAATGTTGTATACTTTCTATTAATTCGTATCAAATAATACTAGAAGATAATAAAATGACTGCTTTAAAGTACTGAAACATAAAAGAAACAGCTCAGAGCCCTATATCCAGTAAACATATCCTTCAAAAACAAGAGTAAAATTAGATTTTTCCAAAGAATTTGTCACCAGTAGACTTAAACTCTAAGAAATGCCAAGTAATATTCTCAAGATGAAAGAAAATGATTTCTATTGGAAACTTGAATTTGACAAAAGAATAAAGAATACTAAAAGCAGCTCTACGTTGGAAAATAAAAAAGACTTTTCCATTTTCCTAATTTCTTTTAAAAACTGTTTAAAAAATAACATCATAAGGTAAATTTTATAGCATATATAGATATAAGATGTGTGACAAGAAGAGCTTGGATGATGGTGGGCAGGTGAGTGAGACTGCAATCTCATAATTCTGTTACATCTGGAAAGTGGAGTGTTATGAGAGTGGCAGGAGGCAGCAAGCATGAGTTATAACATGTGAATTGTGAACTGTAGGGTGTGGAGTATAAGGTGTGAAATGGTAAAATGCTGACTCTACATAATCTTTGATAAATTGACGATTCATATTGTCAGCCCTAGGGCAACCACTAAAAATAAGTTAAAAATATGTCTAGTGCAGAATTGCAGTGCAGAGAATAAAGCGGAATTCTAAGAATAAGTTACATAAAATAAAAGCAGTTAAAGGGCAATAAAGGAACAAACAGAAGTGACAAATGAAAGAAAATCACAAAATTGAATGATTAAATCCAACTATGTCTACAATGACGTTAAACTTAATTAGACTAAAGATCTCATCAGAAGGCATATTTTTTCACATTTGATAAAAAGCAATATATATACTTCCTAAAAGACAAGCTATTTTAAAAAAAGACAAATTCCTTGAATTACAAGGAAAGAAAATGTACAACATGCAAACCAATAAAAGTATGCTAACATAGCTATATCAACATAATAAAAGCAGACTTCACAATAAAGAGTATTAAAGAGAAAAAGAGAATTATAAGGAAGATATACTATCCTAAATAAATATATATCTATTGGCAAAGCTTGAAACCTCAAGCTTTATTAAGAAGTGAACTAAAACGAATAACAGTAAACACTATCCTTGAACTAAAATAGGTGAACTAAAACAAGTTCACAATCAGTATTTGATAAAACAATTAGACAAACTGTCAATATACAAAAAATTATATATATAATTATATATTATATATTATATATAATAGTAAGTATATATAAAACTGTCAGCATGCGGGGCTGAGAATGATGGCTTCTGGCTTAAACCATGTCCCTGCAAAGGACATGAACTCATTTTATTTATGGTTGCATAGTATTCCATGGTGTATATGTGCCACATTGTCTTTATCCAGTCTATTGTTGATGGGCATTTGGGTTGGTTCCAAGTCTTTGCTATTGGAAATAGTGCTGCAATAAACATACGTGTGCACGTGTCTGTATAGTAGAACGATTTATAATCCTTTCGGTATTCTCAGCAAACTAACACACACACATAAATCCAAACACCGCATGTTCTCATAAGTGGGAGTTGAACAATGAGAACACGTGGACACAGGGAGGGGAACAACACACACCGGGGCCTGTCGAGGGGGTGGGGGGCTACAGGAGTGAGGGCATTAGGACAAATACCTAATGCATGTGGGGCTTAAAACCTAGATGTCGGGTTGACAGTTGCAATAAACCACCATGGTACATGTATACCTATGTAACAAACCTGCATGTTCTGCACATGTATCCCAGAACTTAGAGTAAAAACAGAAAAATGATATAGGATATAAAGACTCACTTACACATACACACACACATACACATGTATTGGAAACATAATAATTTTTATATATCACAAGTTAATAATAAGGAAACAAACAATCCAAGTATTTTTTTAAAAGCATGGCAAACTATTTGAACAGACAAAGATATTCAGGTATTAAGATTTTTCTTAATCTTAGACATGAAAAGATGTTCCGCTTTACTCATCATGGAAGTGCTAACTAAAATTAAAATGAGAAACACTTCACACACTCGATTAGCTAAAATTAAAAAGGCTGACACTACCAAAAATTAATGAGGATGTGGAGCACGTGGAATCCACATACCTTGCTGGTGGGAATGTAAAACTCCACACCCACTGTAGAAAATAGTTCTGTACCTTTTATAAAATGAAACCTATGAGCCAGAAAGTCCAGTCCAATGTATTTATCTATGACAATGTTAAAAATGAGCAAACAACAATGTACCCAAAGCCTCATATACTAGTGTTTGGAGCAGCTTTATTCATAATAGTCACACTGGAAACAACCCAAATGCCTGTCCACCGGTAATTTACGCTAAACGTTGCGATGAAACACCATTCAGCAGTAAAAAGGGGCACACTTTTTGTGTGTATCTAACACACCACAATATTAATGAATCTTAAAAGCATAAAGCCAATTGAAAGAAGTCAGATACAAAAGAGTATGTTCTATATGATTCAATTTATGTGAAGTTCTAAAACATGCAAAACTTATAATGGTGAAAACCAGCTCAGGCCACCTGGGGTGGGGTAGGGGGTAGACAGAGGGATGTGAAGGGACAGGTGAGAGCATTCTGAAGACATGGAAGTGCTCTGTGTCTGGATCAAGGTGGTGGTCACATGTGTCAAAACTCATCAGTCTATACATTAAAAACACGTGCATTTAATTTAAGGTAGACTGTTGCCAATAAAGTTTATTTTAAGATAAGTAAGTTAATTTTTTAAAAGGAGACATAGATCTCCAGATCTATTTTGGATAAGTTCCAAAATGTAGTTAGCAGACCATTAGGAAGCCTGGAAAAGTGTATTAAAAGATGGCTCAGTTTCCGAAAGACTGCCATTTTCCTCCAGAATCCTACAGATGCTAATTTTTCATTGGTGACAACCCAGGCATGGTCAGGCATCCACTACTCCTGTGCCAGGACCCAGGCAAGGCAGCAGAATCCCCAAATGATATCTTTTCTTTTCTTTTCTTTTCTTTTTTCTTTTCTTTTCTTTTCTTTTCTTTTGAGATGGAGTTTCGCTCTTGTCATCCAGGCTGGAGTGCAATGGCGCAATCTTGGCCCACTGCAACCTCTGCCTCCCGGGTTCAAGTGATTCTCCTGCCTCAGTCTCCCAAGTAGCTGAGATTAGAGGTGTGTGCCACAATGCCTAATATTTTTTTTTTTTTTGTATTTTTAGTAGAGACTGGGTTTCACCATGTAGGCCAGGCTGGTCTCAAACTCCTGACCTCAAGTTATCCGCCCGCCTCGGGCACATTGCACTTGTAGAGTCTCCTTCCCCACATTGCACTTGTAGAGTCTTCCTCCCCAGGACTGCGTGGCCCTCGTTTTTTGTAGCGTGCTGCTAGCCCTACACCACCGCACCAGTCAAGGCTTACAGCATCTGGACTTTACCTCTGAAGATCAGACAAAGAGAATGCTGACTAGGGAAAACCAGTCTGGTTTTATTCTTAGCCTATGATAGCTATGGACATGATGAAGATACTGAAAACGACACTCAAAAACCCAGCTCAAAATCCATCATTAGACATATTCCCTGAACTCATCTAATCATTTGAGTCCCAGACTAGTCCCTTCCTACAGTGCATATTCTGACTGGGATTCTGGGGTATTTATGGAAGACACGATCACAAAGTTAGTTAGGATTGTAAAAGAGTGTGATGTTTAAAGAACTATACTATAGGAAAGAAAGAGTCTCTGCCAGCCTTTGGAAAAAAAAAGTTCCCTAAGACGTCAAGCCACAGTCTCTCTTTCCCACACTCATGTGCAGTATAGGATCCCTTCCTGGGTTCACTAAGGCCACAGTAGAGAAAGGGGTCTCATGCTATCTAAGACAGGGAGATGAGAACTCAGTCTCCACAGGAGAGGAGAAGAAGGGGCACTGTGTGATGAAGAGTGAATTTCAAAATGGGTACCTGAACTATGTGCTGAGCAACATAACATTTGTTTTATCACATGTTAAGGATCGGTCAGATGTGGTGGCTCATGCCTGTAATCCCAGAACATTGGGAGGCCGAGGTGGGCAGATCACCTAAGGTCAGTAGTTCGAGACCAGCGTGGTCAACATGGTGAAATCCCGTCTCTACTAAAAATACAAAAATTAGCCAGATTTGGTGGCGGGCACTTGTAATCCCAGCTACTCAGGAGGCTGAGGCATGAAAATTGCTTGAACCTGGGAGGTGGAGGTTGCAGTGAGCCAAGACTGTGCCACTGCACCCCAGCCTGGACAACAAGAGCAAAACTCCGTCTCAAAAAAAAAAAAAGTTAAGGATCAATTGTTTGGTTGGAATTTAATTTTTCTTTTTCAACTATTTATAATAACCTGTAGTGTTGTCTTATCATGCTGAGGCTGATTTGAATAACTACAGATTTAACAAAAAGTTCTTATAAAATTCCTGATTTATTAACTCTTTTTCCTAAATTGGGCAACTTCCAAAAGTTACTAATGAAGTCAAACTTTTGTCTCTGTCCTCCTGTAGCTTATTAGGGAACATTGGAAGAGAATGGGCAGAGATTTCGTCAGCTGAAATACTAAGACTCTGCCATCAACACTAGGAGAGACGCACAAGGACAAGTTGACCTTAATCTACATCCCACGGGTGTTGTGTTAACATTTTTAGTGCCCTAATCAAGAACCCTCCCGAAGTGGTTACTCAGCAATCTAAGAATCATGCAAATCCACACCACAGGCTTTGTTAAAAAGCACAAAGGATGTCAGAAATATTTTTTCACTGGTAAAATGAATCCTGCTCAGCATAATGTTCAGTGAAAAAGATTTTATGAGCCCCTGGCATTCCTGAAGCCTGACCTTCAGTGTCAACAAGAAGCCCCCTGCTCCCACGGGCCTCATCTTTCCAGAGGTCTCTGTCACCTGAACCTGCATGTGCAGTGGGCGGGTCCTGCCAGCGAAACCCTCCTGTGTCACACGCTAGGATGGAAGACCCGACAGCGCAGAACAGAGCTACCAAAGTAGGTTAGCTGATTGTTTTTCTTTTTTTAAAATAGACTTTAATTTTTTTAATATATTTTACTTTAAGTTCTGGGATACATGTGCAGAATGTGCAGGTTTGTTACATAGGTATACATGTGCCATGGTGGTTTGCTGCACCTATCAACCTATCATCTAGGTTTTAAGCCCCACATGCATTAGGTATTTGTCTTAATGCTCTCCCTCCCCCAGCTCCCCACCCTGCGACAGGCTCCGGTGTGTGACGATGTTCCCCTCCCTGTGTCCATGTGTTCTCATTGTTCAACTCCCACTTATGAGTGAGAACATGCGGCGTTTGGTTTTCTGCTCCTGGGTTAGTTTGCTGAGAATGATGGCTTCAGCAGTTTTATGTTCAGTAAAATTGAGCAAAAGGTACAGATTTCTCATAAACTCTCTGCCCCCATACACCTATGGCGTCCTTCATTATCAATTTAGAAACATCCCCCACCACACTGATGCATTTGCTGCAAACAATGAAGCTTCACAGGCACATCATTACCAACCAGAGTCCACAGTTCACACTAGGGCTCCCTCTTGGTGCTGTCCTCCTGGTGTTCTATGGGTGTGTACAAACATATAATGACATGGATTTACTGTTACAGTATCCTACAGAGTAGTTTCACCTCCTCAAAATGCTGTGCCCCACTTATTCATCATCCCCTTCCCGTAACCCCTGGCAGCTACTGATCTTTTCACTGTCTTAGTAGTTTTACCTTTTCCAGAATGTCATAGAGTCAGAATCCTGCAGGATGCAGCCTTTTCAGATTGGCTTCTTTCACTCAGTAACATGCATTTAAGGTTCCTCCTTGTCTTTCATGGCTTGATAGGTCATTTCTTTTCAATGCTGAATAATATTCCACTGTCTAGTATATTTAAGACCATTGATGTTTAACGCGATTATTGATATAGCTGGATTCGTATCTACCATGTTTGTTACTTTTTCTATGTGTTGGTTTGTTCTCTGTTCCTATGTCTTCTTCCACTTTGTTATTACCTTTTGTGGTATTTTTTGTATGACTATTTTTGTGCCTACATATGAAAATATGTGTGTCAGAATTGTATGTACAAGTTTATTGTAACAAAAACAAAGAAAGCAAATATATTTATATACATAGATATATTTTGGTATTTTGACTGTAAACACACACATACACACGCATACACACACACCCCACCCATATATATATACTCTCTCTTCTCCCTCTAAATGCCATAACTGACCAAAATAATCTATTAGTGACAGCCAAATTGTTTAGGTCAGTTTGTGGAATGAGGATGTAACCTTTAGTGGCTTATTTATAAGGTATACCCTGACACTCTCAATTCCTTTTGCCCCATTCACAAAATCATAGATATGATATAGTCTCTCAGGCAAAGTAAACGCAAGGGGAAGGGCATCAAGCACCTTGTGAGGGAGGAAATACTAATTTCGTTTTGCAGGTAAGGAAAGTGAAGTTATGTTAGGGAACAGGCAGGAGGCCACCAACTACTCGAGCAGAGGAAACCGGGACTAAAACGCCGGCATGGCGACCCCGTCATCTCTGTGTCTGCAGAGGTGGAGCCCTTGCTCCCACCTGCCTTGCATCACAAGATCAAGGTGACCAGAAGAAGCTTCTCTCTGGACCTTTGATGCATTTGAAGTGCTGGAATAGAAGACAAAGGGTAAGGATAATATATTTGTTAGTAATTTCATCAGAGGTGGCAAGAGATAGTGAAAGCCTTAACCCTAAACAGGAGGCAGAGAGCAGTGTTGGCCATTTCCAAGGGCATGACATGTATGAGACAGGCATGTTTGAGTTGGGGGAAAATCTGTGCTTTATCTTGTCCCCTATTTCATGAGAGGGTCTCATGGACATTTCAACATAAGAGGCAATTATATGGTAAGAGTAATTTCCCTAAGCAGGTGGATGTATTCTGCTTATTGAAATCAGGGGTTGTAAAAAGTGTTGAACGCAGCTGAGAAGGGATAACCCTCCTGGATATGGGAAGAGCTGTGTATATTTTGCAGAGTGGATAAACTGTTAGTGGTTCAATGATTTCTGAAAGCGATTTGCAAAACTGCTGTGGGGAACAGATAGGTAAATGTTGACTGATTCATTGAAGGATGCTGGCTCCAGCTAAAGCCAATGACTGGAAAGGTATACTTTGGAGTTCTATTTCTTGATCCACACCAAATTTTCTGCTCCTGAGGCAAGCTATTTCAATCCACCATGCCCCGGCTTCCTCCTCAGATGGATTTCACCTCATTTGTTAGTAAGGCTTAAGCTGGCTGAAACACAGCCTACATAAGAACAAGGTGATATTGGCAAGTGGGTGGGAAAAAAATTGGATAAAGAGGTCAAATGAACAATGGTAATAAAGGCTGAATGTGTTTAGCCTGAAATGCTATGAGTTGCAGATTTATAGCCATCATTGCTCCCTGAAATCCACAAGAACATTGACAGGA
The DNA here is from genome assembly GCF_000001405.40 of Homo sapiens. Lineage (NCBI taxonomy): Eukaryota > Metazoa > Chordata > Mammalia > Primates > Hominidae > Homo > Homo sapiens. Next base: position 4,758,355 of record NC_000010.11, read on the forward strand.
ATAAAAGTCTGAGTGTCTTTGTGGGGAGGATTTCCTCTAGGATCTAGGTCTTATTCACCCTATGATCCATGAATAAACTATTTAATAGCCCAGTGCTCTCCTTTTATTTTATTAAGAGATGACCATAAAGGTCAAACTTTAGTATCCTAGTCAGCAGAATCAAATTTCTTCTCACTAAGACACTATGTCGTTATCTATGGTGTGATTCAGATTTTAGTGTATTCAAATTGTATTCAGTTTCTCAAAAGAGCTCCCAAATTGTCCAAGAAAGACATAATTCAAAGAGACTGAAGTCCCTGGACTACAGGATCTGATAAACTTAACTTGAAATGAAAACAGTAATGAAAAATTTATATTTAGAAATGTATTTCAGGAATATGAAGAAATGAAATTATGACACATGCCACAGCATGGATGAACCTTGAATTTTTTTTTTTTGAGACAGGGTCTTGCTCTGTTGCCCAAGCTGGAGTGGAGTGGTCCCATCTCTGCTCACTGCAACCTCCGCCTCCCAGGTTCAAGCTAATCTCCTGCCTCAGCCTACCTAGTAGCTAGGATTACAGGCGCCCGCCACCAGGCCCAGCTAATTTTTGTATTTTAGTAGAGATGAGGTTTCACCGTGTTGGCCAGGCTGGTCTCAATCTCCTGACCTCAGGTGATCCACCCACCTTGGCCTCCCAAAGTGCTTGGATTTCAGGCATGAGCCACGGCACCCGGCTGAACCTTGGGGATCTTATGCTAAATAAACTAAGCCAGTCACAAAAGGACGAATACTGTGTAAGTCCACGTTAATGTGGTACCTAGAATAGTCAAATACACAGAGACAGAAAATAGATGAGGGGTTACCAGGGTCTAGGAGGAGGAGAGAACGGGGAGTTATTGTTCAGTGGGTGCAGAGTTTCAGTTTGAGATGATAAAAAGGGTTCTGGAGAAAAAATGGTGGTGATAGTTGCACAAGAACATGAACGTACTTGCCCCTGAACTCTACACTTAAAAATTGTTAAAATGGTAATTATGTTATGCATATTTTACCTCATTAAACGTGTGTGTGTGTATTAAAGTAGACTTCCTAACACTACATATACAGCAAAGATTAGCAGCTGTATCAAGAAAAAGCACATAATATGGGTAAGTTTGCAAAAAAAAAAAAAAAAAAAGGTATACTTTTCCAAACTTTTAATTAGTCCTTATCCAGGGAAAATGTGAAACAAACGTTCACAATGAAGTCTTTGACTAGAACCTGTGTAATCTCCGAGATATATCCATCCCTTCTTAGCATGGGAACGAAGAACAGGAAAGACAGGACAGAAAAGATGGAGAAATTGCTACTGCCTCACATATGCTATCACCATGTATGGGGTTTTTGTTGTTGTTGTTGTTGGTTTGATTATTTTATTTCAAATAGCAGGACTTCATCAAATATAAAAACAAAGTCAGCTATATATATTGAATATATATTGGCTACAGTGAATACTGAAGGGTTAAATTTGTTGAGAGTGTTTTCTGGATGTGTGGCCATTGGCTATGCTGTGTGTTGGCTTTATCGTCTGATCTGGTATTGTTCTTGTGGACACTGTCAGAGATGGCATGTTTTTGCTCCTTGGAATCAGGGGTTTCTAGAAGCTGAACATGTATGAGTTTCCAAGGACATTAATTCCTTAATGCCACTAACTTTATAAAGCATGTTAAAATAATACATCTTCCTAATAAAAAAAATAGCCCCTAGAATAATTAATGAAGAGAAAAGAGGAAGCAAAAGGATGGTTTGGTATATTCAGATGGAGGAGAAATGAAAAACATAAAGGAGGTCAGGAAAAAGGAGAAGAAAAGAGGAAAACAGTTTAAAGTGAGGATAGAGATGTAGGATCGCAGGCCAGAAAAGAATCAGAAATAGGGATGTGGACAGGGCAATGTGGTTTTTAAGCCCTCCTGCTGGTTTACCTACTGAAATGCAGAATGGTTTAGCTAGACAGTGACGTGGTCGAGAACCTTACAACAGGCTGTTAAAGAGGGTTGTGGACCCCGAAGAACACAGACCAGGACATGACTTTACCATATTGGATCAATGAACGGTCACCATCAACCAGTCTAAGAAGAAGAAGAAGATGATGACCCAGCCAAATCCTCTTACACAGTCCGTAGACACATAAAAGTGCAAAACATCTGTCCTCAGTTGTGCATTTTTGTTAGGAGATGGGTAAATATTTAGTCATTCTCTACTTAGTGAATCCTGGCAGAGTACTGATTGCATTGAAAGCATCTTATCAATTTATGCCTAGTGTTCCATTATTGGAATGCTAAGCATGTGGGAGTTATCCTCCTGTTGGTCCCTCTCTAACTGTGGCTCTTACTGATGGGAAGGCAGCACTTGGAAATGGGAAGGACAAGTGTGCAATACTTCAATTCCTGCTGTATCAGATGCAGAAGCAACAAAAACAGGACCCCAAAATGCCCCAAGTGCCCTCCCACCCTTCTGCACTGAGCACTCCCTTAACTTCATCAGCTGAACTTGGGCCTCCATAGGACCTGATGGGGTGGAGATGGGAGAGTCTGTATCCAACAGACCCAGACAAGCTTGAGTCTCTCCTTCCTGTTCTCCAGCATATTCAGATGGGTGAGTATGTGCTTCAGTCCCCCTTGGGGACCCAGAGACTTGGGCTCCATCCTTAATCTTTTATGCCTGAGGTTGCAGTTTTTTGAATTTGAATAATCAGACCTGAACAATGACCTTGGTCATGCTGTCAAAACTGCATGCTGCAGTCTACCTCCCCAAAACACAGTGACTTCTATCATAGGAGTTATTACAGGAGACCTTGAAGCATTGCAAGAAACTCCGTGTGGCCCTTGGATGATGGTGGAGCTCTCTCAGACATGAGGATTCCTTGGTAACCCAGGGAAGCTTCCCGGAGAGACTTGGCAGTTATACGCATCCTGAGAGCCGTTATCCTGACCATAGAAGTCAGCCAATCAGAACAGGTGCTAAGAAATGTCCCATCTTTGGCTGAAGTGATCAGTGACACCAACTCAACCCAAGTCAGTACTCAGGTCAGCCTCAACTCACTGGGCAATGTTATTACAGATGACCAGGACTGCCCTGGATGTCCTCTTTGTGGGCCAAGGCAGAATCTGTGCAGTCACTAATACATCCTGCTCTTCTTGGATGAATGCCTCAGACCATGTGGAAACGTCCACACAGAAACGTAACGAGAGAGCCACAGGGCAATCTGTGGTGGAACCTTATGGCTTGTGACAGGGTTAGCAAATGTTCCCTGAGAAGAGTCAGCCAGTAATTATTTGGGGCTTTGCATAAGGGCCCGATGCAACCTCTGCCTTTACAGTGCAAGAACAGTAGAAAACACATACGCGAAGGAGAGGCGTGAACAATGGTCGGCCGCCTCCCAGTTCATGCAGTTTGCTCAGTTAGCTGCATCCCGGACTTGGGGTGGGGTGTCATAGCTTAGGTCACCACAGCAGGTTGCCCTCATGCTGTTGTTAGCAGCCTAAACTGCATGCTAGAGGGGGAATAATTGACCAGATTAATCATAGTGGCCAGTGGAGTGGTATGCTCATGGGAAAATTCATCATTGTTTTGGAAGATAATTTTTCATGGGCTTCTGGATTTGGGTACACCTTGTGAGCAGAGGCACTGGCCACCCTGTGTCTCAGCCCATCTTTCCAAGGATATTTGAATAGCAACCACTATGAAACGTCCTTTTATGAAGGAGACTCCCTCCATGTCTTTTTCTAGAGCAGGTGAATGATACACTTTCCACCCATTATTAAAGCTCTGGGTTCTCTAAGTTCAGAGCTCCGTTCCTGCATCACCACCCCATGCCTGCATGCTTCCCTGCCTCCATCTGGGAAAACTTGCATCCTTACCTGTGGGACTTAGGGGACAACTGGCACTAACTCAAAACACAAGATGCTCCAGCTGGCTACTACACCACAAGTGGTAAAGTCTTTCGTCTCTTACCCAGGAGTGTCATGTCTTTTGACAGCATCCATAAAACTGTGGCTGCATAGCTTGTTGGTTGCAAGTAGGATAAAACCTTAGACCTTTCACAGCCCTTGACATTCCCAGTAGGGAGCTATGCAGTTCCTGTGTCTTCAGAGCAGCTTCATGGCTGAATGTGAATGACCTTAAATCAGCAGTGGGCTTTGAAATCTTCAGACGAACATCTTCATAAAAATGCAAAATGATATTATGAATTTAGGGGCTATGTATACAGCCTTCATTTTAAACTCAGTATCTTCATGCACTAAATGAAAAATCACTCTAATCAGTCAAAAGGCACTTTGGGGAGTACTCAAAATATGGGAGTAATATTCAAATCATAATTTTGCTTTATTATGATTTGTGAGCAAATCCAATAGTCATATAGATATTAATATTCCATGGGAGGAAGAGAGAGAGAGAAAATATATATATTCTGAATGAAGGAAGTTGATAGCAGGGCAGGAGCAGGCCATTAACTCCAGTCACTGTGGAGATTTTCTTTCCTTCCAATAACCTCAAATGCAGTTATTCTGCCATTTAATATCATTATTTTTATTCTGAGTGGACCATTCATCTTATAAATCGATTAGTTTGACTAATCATTAATTTTCCTGGTATTTGATTTTGTTCAAGTTACTCAGAAGCTCTTTGGCCCATCTCTCTTTCCAATCTTTCTATTCTTTCCCCCTTCTTTCCATTCATCATTTTCTCAATAACTTCCCTGGGAACTGCAAAGCAAATTATTTGGTAGCATACTTCATTAGGAGGGAGATTTGCATGAAAAGAGAACATTTTATTTAAGATTTGAAATTCGTGACTGTTCTTAAAGTCTTTTTGCTGTTTGATCACAATTAGAAAGCTAATGTCAGCTCCTTGATGAGAATGAGATGAATTTAACACAAAAATTCTCTGCAGCTGTGGACTGCAGGATGCAGCGCAGGCTCCTGCAACCTCTTGTGTCTAGTGGGTCCTGCTCAGAAGCTTCTTCATGTAAACAAATAACCCAAGAAAAACGATGGAGTTTTCTATGCAAATGCAGGGTCATAACAATTTCCTGAGATTCTCCATTCATAAATTTACCCCTGTGAGTCTCTCCTTTTTAGAAACTCTGTAACTACCACTGGAGCTGCCATACACTGAGAGGGCAACTACGCAAAAGGCTGACAACTAGACCATATGTGAAAATAATACTCTGGGCCGGATGCAGTGGCTCACCCCTATAATCCCAAAACTGTGGGACATTGAGGCAGTAGGATCACTTAAGCCCAGGAGTTCCAGACTGCAGTGAGCTATGATCATTCACTGCACTCCAGGGTGGGTGAGAGAGACACCCTGTCTCTAAAAAAAGAAAACAGTACTCTCATCCAGAAACTCCACTTTTGAGCAATCTGCCCAAAATGACCACCCCTTGATTAATAACTGACAGCTTCTCTAAATTTTGCCCTCACTCCCAACTAAGTAACAAACAGAGAAAACCAAATATGCTCTCCTAGCCAATCCCATAGGATGCTCCAATTCTAGGTAGCCTGCCTCCAGCTCCCCAAGCCAACAGCCTCTAGTCAGGGCACACTGAGCCTTCCCTTTTTTCCACTATAAAGCTTCACAGCCCCTTACCTGCCTTTCAGTCTCTGCCAAACACAAATGACAGTGCTGACTCCTCTGATCCAGATGAGCTCAGAATACATAGCCTTTGCCTTTCTTAGTTGGCTGGTCTTCATTTATTTCACATAACAGGAAGAGTCTATGAGTTACTAGTGGTTCTATAATAAAACCTCTTGATAACTAAGGTCTGAATCATTGCATTGCTTACAATGTGGGTTACTGCAAATTAATAAAAGACCGCATTGTTTCCCACTAGTTTGTATGTTTACATTGCCATAAAAAACACAAAAGTAAGGATAATGAAAATCATACTGGAACCAACAAAGTAAAAACTGACTGAGAATTTCATACCTCTACCCTACAGCCGACTCCCTCTTCTGGATATGAATGTCTCTCTCCTTTTGAGAATGGCTTTTTGTGGAGGTGGGCGTCAGGTGGCGACCACGTTGTATCTGAATCCTCGTTATTGTGCAGTCATCACAAGGCTTGCTCTCTTTGTGTTTGTAGTCTTTAATTAGTAAGCTTTATAGCTGTGCAAATTCGCAATCTTTATCCACCATTCTGAAATCCAAAATGCAGTAAAAACAAATAGGAAAAAAAAGAAAAAAAGATTGTCCGTAATGTGTTTAGCCACAGTAACTGACCTGAGCTAATGACAACCTATTTAGAGTCCCTGATTGTCACCGCCCTCAATTTCATACCAGTGGCCACAGAATCCATAATGAGCTTAATTACATGGAGCTGCCCCATACCTTGCTGGGGGGATTATATAATATACTGTTTTGTAATGTATTACCATTATAAAATCCAAAAGAAATGTAAAAAATCTGAATTTTGAAACACATAACACCCGGGATGTTTTGGATAAGGTTTAAGGAACATAACCCATTGACTGACTGAGCCCTGCAGTCCTTATTAACACAAGCATTATCTTGAGAGAACACACTCAGAATGGAAGGACAACCTAGATCTCGTTCAGCCCAGTTCCTCCCATTTCACATGGAGAAACTGAGGCCTAAGATGGCTCACCCACCAGGTTTCACACATTCTTATATGTCACAATCTGTAGATTTGAAAATCTGTCAACTCTTCAGCAAGGGTAGGTAGTTACTAAGACAACAAAGTGATAATTAGTAAGTCATCATTAGTAGGCAACATTTTGAAATAATTATTACTAGGTTTAACAGATTTTAAATGTTTTCCTGGTTCATGCTATGAAAGTCATTAATGTTTTTTTTTTTACATGTTCAAGCTTCTAATCATTAAAAAAATAAAAGCTAGTTTAAACATTGGACAAAAGAAAACACGAGCTATGCAAAATGGGTTAAATATCATTAGAAAGATAAATTTGGGGGGCATAAATTCCACCTTTTAAATAATAAAGGATTGTTTTCAAGAGAAGATTTTTGCCAGCGTTTTGTCCAAGACATTTTCTAATGAGGTAAACATCAGGGAAGTCATGTCCTCTAATTGTTAATTTCCAGTTCAAGTAGGCATTCCAAATAAAATTTATTTTACAAATTTTCTCATAATGTGGTCAAATATGCTTTACAGTTATTTATGCAGAGACCTCAAAATACAATCAGAGAGGTTTTGCTGCTTCCTTTACTTGGAGTGAGATGATAAAATCACCAAATGCTAAATGTCAGAAGGCTCCCAGGGAACATCTGATGTGGTCATTTGCTTTGATGAGTAAACCAAGGCCTGGACACTTAGCTTTTGTTAAAGGTCCTTCTACTTAAGAGTAGCATATGCTGAAAACTGGGAGACCATTTTTTTGTCTTCTAATGGTAATAACAATAATAATAACCAGTTATTTCAGCCAGGCAATCGGCAAAATGTTTTATCTGAATTTATGCATTTCATCTTACTTCTAAAGCAATATCGCCACAGATTGCCTTTTGTCAAAATGAAACTCAGTTAAATGGTTGCATTGATCTTAGCAATTTGATTTCCACATACTTTCAAAAGAAAACCATATTTTATTTAATAAAATAATATTTTTTAATTCCATAAAATAATTTTTTTTTCTAATCAGACATTGGATTGTAATTTTGCTTACCTTGTATTCTCTGATTATGATATATTAAAAGTTATTCCACTGTTAAACTACCATCATCTTTTCATTAGCTAATAGAAAGCATTACCCATTAATAAAACAAATATGGATAGACCTGGTAGGACATTTTGGTTTTCAGAAATTTATCTTTTCTTACCTGTGCAACAAAAGCTTCTAATTTCTTTTCTTTTCAGCATAAATGATCATGCATGGTTCTTCAGACTGGGTTCAAGCCATTTAGCAACATCATCAAGAAGAAATAATGTTAATTACCAAAAATGAATAAATTTTTGAGAGTCCACGGCTGCATAATAATTCTCTGTAGCTTTCAATTATCAGGTGAGGTGATTATTTTTGATGAATCAAGCATTTTTATGAACTGAAGCTTTCAGCACTCTTCTTTGACTACAGTGCAATACTGCAGGCTATTGTCAACACCTATTTTTTGAAAAGTAGCATACATTCCCGTTGGCATTCTGGCAACAGAATAGAAGCTTGGGCTCCTTAAATCATCCCCATTAATATGCTATTGTTGACTGTATAAGAAATATTTTCCTAGTACAAAGCAAATGTGTAAAAAAAAATCTCTCTCTCTCTCTCTCTTTCTCCCCCTGCCCCCACCTTCTCTCTCTCTCTCAGAAATAGCCAGAAGCTAGACAGGAAGCATTTGGCAAAATGACACGTTAGTTTGCAGCTGGAAACAGAGAGGACAGGAGAGCATGTTCTCCCAGAAAATGCCTCTTTTCTAAAACTATGAATGTTCTTACAATAGAAGAGTCTCCACAGATAAACATCTGCTGAAAAATCTTAACTTGGATGATCAAATGCCATCCGCCACCCCATCAAATTTTGATTATTGGGCTAGAAATCGTATTTGCTGAGGGATAATGTTGCTGAATCAATGAGCGATGGGTTCTGTCATATGACCAAGACTCATCACGACCCTCCTTAGCTGGTGGTTGAAGTTTAAACTTAAGAACTTGAGTTTCCTCAGCTGTTAAACAGAAGGCTTGGACCAGAGAGTTCTAAAGTCTCTTTTAGTTCAAAAAGTCAGATATTATGTATAATTATTAAAAAATTATTACAGATTCTATGGTTATCGTTTTAAATGCTATTATCATTAAAGTCATAATTTTTTAGGAGTATTCAGAATTAATTAGCAAAGAAAGATGCCATTCTTGGTTATTTTCTGATAATGCTGAGGATTAAATAGGTTGTTGCACCATCTGCTGGTAGTCCTGAGGCTGTCTGATTAGGTGACAGCAATGTCCTTCCTGTTTTAATGGGATATTTCATTCCCCTCTCCTATTGCTCCAAAAAACCTTCCAAAATGTTTTCCCATCTCTATGTAAGGTAAATACAAATGCCAAGATCGTTATTATGATCTACAAATAATGTAAAATTGTGAGCTCTAATTCATATATTTTCATCATATTTTTCTTCAAAGAGGGACTGAGATATACATTTTTAAAGTAAGATGTCCAGATTGAATTGAATGATATAAATAAGTGGAGCATTTGCACGCTAACAATGTAGTATGCAAAATGGAATTCCTTTCCCATCACCAGATTCCCTCCAGGAAGCTAAAGGCTGCAAAGTAAAGTGGCTTCCATGGCTACAATACTCTAACTCTGCTTCTCTCCATAGGCACACTAACAGGGTCTTTCCTAAAATGACACTTGGTGACGCGTCATACATATGCATGGCTTCATCGTGCCAAGGAACAGGAAACAACGTGAGCAGTTTTGTGAAAGGGATAATTTGATTCAAAGTTATGTTGAATACAGCAATGTTAATGAACAAAGAACAAAGAAACTGTCTTCTTGTTAAAAAATGCACTTTTAGTAGAATTATCAAAGGAATAAATAAAAGAATTCTTCATTATTCAACACCTTTAAAGTTCCCCAAAACATGCCTTTTTCAACAACGCAGAGGTGCATTTGAAGATGTTCTGTGTTTCTAGATAGGGTGAATATTTGTCTCTTTTAGGATAAACAAAAAGGTAATATAGTTTCAGTGATTTTTATGGTTCTAGTATTGAAAAAGTTAACTGTATTCTTCCACCATGCTGCACATGAAACAGGCTTTTGTAGAGTCCTCTAGAAAGTCTATAGTTTAGGTGGCTGTGGAGGCTGCACAATTCCTGTCTCAGGCCATGTGAGCTGAGCACCCTGAAAGCAATGAAAGAACTGGGAAGACATCTTTCAATGCTGAAATCTGAAACCTGTCCTTGAATATGAGAATAATGGATTCCAAATTCTACAAAACATTATGGAATCATATTGCAATATTTGGAAGCAACCTCGCAGCTGCCCTCTGGAACTGCTGATAAACATGATGGTCATAAGCGTACACAACATGCAAAGCAAAAGTGATTGTGAATGGAATCCACATTTAGTTGAGCCCAGGAAGAACTGGCAATATGTTCTTGACTCAGTTTTGCCAAAAGAATCAGAGGATTCTCCTGGAATGCCAGCTTCACTGGTTGGAACTCTTCTGGAATCCAGGACAGTCTGTGATTTATTCACAACAAAGGTGAGGTCGGATATGCTCAGGATATGCAAACTTATTTTTGCATATGCCTGCAATACATAATCAGCATGAATAAGGTTGTACAATTTGGATAGCCGACAGCATAATTTGCTTTATGTCTTTCTTTATTCCCTCTGACCTCACCCTCTACTTAGGTGGGGGCTATGGAACTAAAGAAAGATCATAGAGAAATAGAGAAATTCATTAAGGGGCCCCTTAATGTTCAAGGGTTTTCCTTCCTAGGGCCACATTCCAGGATTCCTAAAGTCAACAAGAGACACTACTTCCATGCCAGAACACTCCAGTGAAACCCACGTTTTCATTTCTCTTTCTACAATGGAGTCAATGGGTTTGGATGTGTTCCTTTCTAGATTGCTTTTTGGCTTTCATAAATTGTATGAGAAGTTATTTAATTGACTTTGATATGGGGGAAAGCAGTAAATATTTAAATCTGATGAGGATGCTTTTGAAGGAAAATCATCCTGGCCCCAGGATAGCTCATCTTGCTTAACATATTTAGGGCTGGGCAACAGAGTGAATGGAAATGTCAGGAAGAACATAATCCAATCCAACTAGTGACTGCACAAGCCAGGCCTTATTAAATAAGGTGACAGCCAAGAGGGCACTGGAAGCCCATTGCCCTAACTCAGTTAGTCCTGTGTGCTTTCAAGAGTCCTAAACAAAGGGGAATTTGAAATAACAAATTTGAACACAGTCAATATGCAAACACATAACTCATAAGAAGGCATATTGATATTAAAATTTTAAAGTGTAAAGGTGCTATAGATATCTCGGCCAAGTTATCTCTGACTTTTTCAATGATATTTACAAATCTGTCAATTGGTATGCTTTAAATATTTTTTAATCCATTCTTATGGTTACTTATTAATAACTTTTATAAACTTTATAGTATATAAAATGAATTCAAATTTCCTTATCATGTTGAATATAAGTTCTGGTTTCCCAGTTCCATCTTCAAGATAGCTGATTGACAGTATATGACTAAGAAATAGGACTATAATTGCTAATGGTTTGCTTTTTTATATAGGAAACAATACAAATGAAGATTAGAATTTTTACTATTTTTTTAACAAAATTAGCAAATCATGCACTTACAGACTCAAACACAAGCCTAAGTAAGTAGACAAGCATTTATTGTATCCACTGTACAATTCTTTCTCACCATTACGGAAATTAGCTTATTCCTGGATGGTTCAAAAGCTTCCTAAACACATGGAATTTAGATAATTACAAAAGGTTTTTATAATGGAGCCTCTTTTGCAAATCAATATAAAATTGTTAGCTGACCTGGAAGGGGGCACGGACCGGAAAGCCATTTGTTTTAATGGAGTCTTAAGAAAACTGCATAAAAAAGAATATGCTGTTAACGTCTTCCTAATAAATCAAAACAAGAGACTATTTGTAATATAGTAAATGTAACTTTGAGAAAATTTAATTATATTTTTTTAAAAGAATAATCCTGAATGTTGACTTGGAAACCACAGATTTCAGAACTTGCCTCTATATTACCAATATTTCTTTTCATTGATGCTCTAACCTCTAAAAACTAATAGTAAATGATACATCAAAATGCTAACCAACCTACAAAACTGAGTACTCCAATGTTTCTGAGAATTATTTGGGATATAAATTTAAAGCTCATATATGAATAAAATTATAATAAACTCATTCTGCAAGATTATGTATTAATCCAAATAAAATATATATTTGATTTTTGAAAATGTCACAACTTTAAAGAATTAAAATTTACATAAGATGAGAGAGGTTTTAATACACAGTTTAAACATTTGGAGGCTGAAATTAACTTTGATTCCAGCATTTTTTGCTTTCTGATTTCAAATAATTATGACGTTTAAAAATAATCAAAATATCTCAAAGTAATATTTTATGTTATAATTGGTTTGTTTTTACTTTGCCGTGAATTAGTATACTAGTTACAAAAATGGAAGCTGATTGGAAAAAAATAGAAAAATGTCTTAAAAACTTTTTGAGGGGTCATTTATTTTTTTAAGAAGTAACATGTATCTAATGCTGTCTTGGATACACTAAAAAGCACTTAAGACATATGTGAATTCACTTAATAAAATTGTTTTCCATATAAATATTATTTAAACTCCCTAAAATATTGTCTTTTTCTTTTCTTATTAAGGTATAAAATTTCTTTGCCTATTTCTAGAATTAATAAACAAGTTGCTATGAGCAACTTGGGAGAAACACAATAAGATTCTTTAAAAACTTTTTTTTCCGTTTCTTTTTTTAAGTTTTCCTGTTGGCCTGACTCATTGTGCTCTCACATCCCTTTGAAACCATATGGGGAAGTAATAAAGTGTGTCTCTTCTTCCAAAGATATGCACTGTTTATTAACTGACTAAGGGAAATACTATGAGCTCATTACTATTTGTCATACATGGTCATTCAATCACATTGAGCAACAGACAAGACCAGGAAACACCCGTGTAAAAGGACAATGGATAATGGGCAGTTTAACAGTTTAATTTTTTATGAGAAAAAAAAGAAGTTGAATATGACCTTAGATAAAATACAAAATACAGCAATAGTAACACTGCTGGCCATTTCTATTCAACAACAAACTCTCTGTTCTCTGCAGAGACTAGGAGGCAGGTACAGGATTCTGCCTACAAATAACTTTCTTTCTTTAGCACCAAATTGTGCCCAGTGTAGCACCACTTATTGTCCAAAGAATTAAAAGCCTTCAGCAGCAGATATTATTATTGTCTTTCAAAGATCTCCTTCCTGGGAATTCCATCACATGTAAACATATGCTTAAGGATTTAGCTCCATCTACAGGAAGCAGAAAATAAAACAAATTATTTGTAAATACAAAGTCCTCTCTGCACACATCCATTTAGATAAGATTGTTTTTGCTTCTTCCAAATGATGCTTTTGGCTGAGAAAGTTCCAGCGGAGAAAGGAGAGCAGTTAGAGTAGGAAATGGGCATATGACTCATCCATTCCTGGGGTTTTGAATCAGAAGAAAATCTGATTCTACTTCATTAAATAAATTTCTATAAAAAGCAGCCATTTATAAAACATGACTTATGAAACATATTGCCAAGGAGGAAGCCTCTCCCAGGATTTTGCAGGGATTTATCAAACAAGAGTCCCTGAATGTTAAAGTTTCAGATAATTCTGTCTCTGGATGTGGGTTTCATTCCCCTTCTTCCCCATAAACTTCCTATCCTCTGAGAATATGTGCCACCCCCCATAACTGTGTCCACTGAGCCAGATCCCAGGACAAAGGGTGTCAAGGAGGGTTGGAGGAGATGGCTTGGGAAAACCTGCCAATATCCTTTCTCAAAACAATGGCAGAAATCTGGGTGCTGTCTTCTTTCCTGCTCCACATTAATTGACAATAAACATAGCTATTTACTTAAGAGGAAAGCGGAAACTCAGAAATGGTTTGGTCACCAAAAACCACAAATGAAATATTCCATTTTCCCCAAAGTCATATTTATCCACTCTTAAACAACCTTCTAAAGAAGAGCGCATCGTTAGTTGGACATGTTAGTCAAGCCACGTCCTTGCCATGGAATGTTCTTCAGAGCATTGAGTGGAGATCATGTACCTCCACATTCCCGGAAGCATATGCCTCATGTTTCTTCATTGAATAATTCAAATCTAAAATTAGGGGTAAAATGCTCTATTGTACAAAGATGCTGCCTTGTTTATATACCCAATTTCCATTTCTAAATAAATGTACAGTAGCTCTGAATGAAGAAACTGCGTTTGGGTTAATCCTTTGTACCAAGAATAATGACTAGGCTCCAACCTCAATCCTGCATGAGTTTATACTGAAACTTCACCATGTGTATGAAACTATACTTACTCATCAAATCATTTTATTCCAGAGTAAGGAGAAGATCTGCCACAAAGAGAAACACCCAACTCTACCCCAGAGATGCTACAATTCTCAAATTCCATAAATTAGATGTTTTTCAGCCTCAAGCCTTTCAAGTCTCCTTCAGATTTCTATTACTTTTGCGTGAACGATAAACTCATAAAATGTAAGGTTCTGCTCTATTAAATAATGCATTATGGATGTCATATGATTTTGTAAAAGCTTCATAACATTTCTAAGCAAATAAATTATAGAAACTCTGGGTAAAGGTAGTAGATTAGACACATGCTCGCCTATGTCTGCTCCTTCCACAAATCCTAAGGAAATTATAGAGAAGAAGTATAAATTCACAGACAGGTGACTGAAAGGAGAGGCTGCAGTGGATGAGATACATTAACAAATATTTGGGCGGGATGGTGGAAACCGACTTAGCGGAACAAAGGAAGCTGAATCCTAAGAGAATTTTTCACTGAAGAATGGGGAAAGATAAAAAACGAGAGGTTCTGAGTTTTGCAAATGCAGTGATCAGATGGGGTTCAAAACCAGGAGGGCCAATTGACAGGTGGAATAAATAGTGATCGGGCATCCAGGATTCCTTCTCTGAGTTTTTAAATGTTTTCTAATTGATGTATAATAGATGTACACACTTTCAGGATACATGTGATAATTTATTGCATTCACGTAATCAATAAAGATAAAAGCAGCGCAATTAAGATGCCTATCACCTTGAATATTTGTCTTTTCTTTATGCTAGAAATATTTAAATTATTCTTTTCTAGATATTTTGAAATATACAATAATTATTGTAGACTATAATCAGCCTACTAATCTATCAGTCTTATTTATTTTATCAAACTGTATATTTGTAGCCATTAATCTGAGACTAGTAACCATACCTCCCCAACACAGAAAGAAATTGATTCAGAGAGATTATACACTGGGACATGTGAGGCACAGTGGTGGGTGATGCTTAGGCATTAAAACCAGGAGAATTAGGTTAAACTTTATAAACTTCACTGCAGAAAATGGAAGCAGAAGGAATACTTCCCAGTACCTTTTATGAGGCCAGAATTACTTTAACACCAAAGCCAGATTAAAATCATTACAGAAGAATAAACTAGACTCCAACATGTCTTATAATTATAGCTCAACAGAATATTAGTGAGTCAAAGCCAACAATGTATTTTTTGAAATACACTACAACCAAGTGGGATCATTTCATACCTGAAGTAAAGTATACAAAAGAATGATTCAACATTCAAATATCAATCAATGTCATCCATCATGACAACAAGCTAAGAAGAAAAATCATATGCTCATATCAATAGATGCAGAAAAAACATTTGACGAACCTCACAACCATTCAAAATAAAAATTCTCAGCAAACTAGGAATAGAGGGGAACCTTTTCAACTTGATAAGAAGATATCTACCAAAAACCTACAGCTAATATCATACCTAATGGTGAGAAACTTAATGACTTTCCCTTAAGATTAGAAATGGCAAGGATGTCCTCCCATACGATTTCACTTGACATCATGCCCAAAATGCTAACTAGCACAAAAAGACAAAAAAGTGTAATTGAAAATATACAAATGGGAAAGGAAGACATAAAACTGTCACATGAATGACTCTGTAGATTTAAAAAATATATATATATAAGTAACAAATGAGTATATCACGGTCACAGGGAACAATATTAACATATATAATTATTTTGTATACTAGGAGTAAACAATTGGAATGTAAAATGTAAAAAAGGAATACAATTTACTATTGCACCAAAAGAATGAACTCTTTTGTTAGAACAAATCTAACAAAATATTTAAGTATCTACATGTGGAAAACTACAAAATTGATGAAAGAAATCAAATGACATTTAAATAAATGAAGAAATATTTCATGTTCAAAATCCCAGCAAGTTATTTGTTAGATATCACCAGCCTGATTCAAAAGTATGAAGAAATGCAAAAAATCTAGAATTGTCCTCTAATGAAGAAGAATGAAGTTAGAAGATTCAAATCATCCAATTTCAAGATTCGCTATAAAGTTTATTGTAATCAAGACAGCGTGGTTTCAAAAACAGAATAAACACATTCATCAATGAACAGAATATGAAGCCAAGCAATAGATCCAAACACATTCACTTAATTCTTTATGTTGGCCTAAAGGTAATTCAATGAAGACACAGGCTTTTTAAACAAATTATGTTGGAACGGTTGCACACCTATTTCCAAAAAAAAAAACCTAGACACAGACTGTACAATTTTCACAAAAATTAACTCAAAATGGGATATAAAAGCATAAGAATGACATAATGGACTTTGAGGACTCAGGGGAAAAGGATGAGAAGGAAGTGAGGGATAAAAAACTGCAAATTGGGTGAAGTGTATACTGCTTGGGTGATGGGTGCACCAAAATCTCACAAATAACCACTAAAAAACTGATGTAATCAAATACCACCTGTTCTCCAATAACCTATGGAAATAAAAAATTAAAATACCAATTAACTCAAAATGATGCATAAACATAAATGTAAAATACAAAGGTGCAAAACTTCTGAAAGAAAATGCAGAAAATCTACCTGACCTTCTGTTTGATAAAAGTTTCTAAATACAGCTCCAAAAGCATGATCCATTCACACTCAAAAAAAGATTCATAGGTCAGGCATTATTAAAATTAAAAATGTCTGCTCTGCAAATGGCATTTAACAGAATAAAAATGGAAGCCCAAGAAAATGAGTAACTATTTGCAAAACACATATGTGATAAAAACACTTGACTCTAATATATACGACACTCTTAAAATTCAACAATAAGAAAACTAATGCCTCAATTAAGAAATGGGGCTGGGCATGGTGGCTCATGCCTGTAATCCCAGCATTTGGGGAAGTCGAGGCGGATGGATTGCCTGAGGTCAGGAGTTTGAGACCAGTCTGGCCAACATGGTGAAACCCCGTCTCTACTAAAAATAAATAAATAAATAAATAAATAAATAATTAGCCAGGCATGGTGGCATGCTCCTGTAATCCCAGCTACTCAGGCGGCTGAGGCAGGGGAATTGCTTGAACCAGGGAGGTCGAGGTTGGAGTGAGCTGAGATCACACCACTGCACTCCAGCCTGGGCGACAGAGCAAGAGTCTGTTAAAAGAAAAAAGAAAAAAGAAAAGAAATGGGCAAATTTGAACGAATACCTCAGCAAGGGTAAAAGTATCACACGAAAAGACGAAGATGCTCAATATTATATGTCATTGTGGAAATATAAATTAAACTAGTGGCAAAACTCACTACACATCTATTGTTATTCTTAAACCCACCAAAATAGCAATGCCTGGCAGGAAAGCAGAGCCGGCAGAACTCTTGCTCATTGTTGGTGACTACAAAATGTCGCAGACACTGGAAGACAGTTAAGCAGTTTCTTATAAAACTAATCATAGTCTTCCATATGACCCAGTAGTCATGCCCCTAAGTATTGACACAACTGATCTGAAAAGTATGTTTAGACCAAACCCTGCAAGCAAGTATGTATGGCAGCTTTATTCATAATTTCCCAAGACAGAAATTAACCAATACGTCCTTCAGTACTTGAATGGATACACAGACTGTGGTTCACCATGGAATACTTCTCAACAATAAAAAGGAATGAGTCACAGAGCCTTACACAGACATGGGTGAATCTTCAGTGCTTCTTGCCAAGTGAAAGGTGCCAGTCTGAAAAGACTGCATAGTGTGCCATTCCATTTCTATGACATTCTGGAAAGGGCAAAACTATAGAGGTTGTAAAAAGATAAGACATGGTCAGAAAGAGGGCAGAGTTAGAGAATAAAAGAGTAGGTGAAGTGTGTGGGGATTTTCAGGGCAGTGAAACTTTATGGTACTGTAATGATAAGTACATGACACCATGTCGTTGTCAAAACCCACAGAAAATTACAGCTCAAAGAGTAAAACCTTGCTGCATGTAAGCTTAAAATAAATCAGTTAGGAGGTCAGGGGAGCCCAGCATAGAATACATCTGACGAAAAAGTCTTACTTAACTATATTAAAAATGCATAAAACAACCTCCCTGAAGGGGATGGAGGAAAGAGGTGCTGATCTGAGTAATTTTTGAAATGAGACTTGTCTGTAAGGGACTGTCCCTAAGTCCTGCAGTCTGGCTGATAAAGTTGATTCCCACTAGGGAAACCACTATGCATGTAAACTTATATTGAGCAGTTAAGTATATCGATGGTAGCTGCTGCCACCCTGGTGTTCATTTCAGGAGTGGGACGTTATAGATAGTGAAGAGGAGCCAGCTACAATGATCCTTATGAGTTGAGGTGGAGGCCTCAGTATGAACTTGCACACAGCTTCATGTTATTAATTCAGTTTTGGTAAACACATGTTTATATATTAAAATATTACATTTACAGACACACGTACATACATGGGATAGTGTACACACCTGCATTTCTGTGCTGTGTCAACTGAGAGGACCTAGAAGCAATGACCCACCAATAGCAGCCTCCATACCTAGCACCTAGATCTTGGTTTCTAATACCATCTTCCAGTGGAAGGAACCAGGACTTACTGAAGAAATGTCTGAGTCCAGGACTGGTCCAGGTAATTTACAAGATAAGCCCTAGCATCACTGTAGTGCCAGAAGGTCAGAAAGTTTAAAAACAAACAAAAGAACAACAAACCCACAATGCTATGAGTATGTTGGAAGAACCCAAGAGAGAACTGAAAGGGCTCCCAATGGCCAGAGACGGAAAAACTTAAATAAGTAAAGTAAATAAAGCACATACTATTGGGTCATAACCCAAAATATAAAATAAATATTTATGAATCCATACTGATATCAACAGCTGAATGAATTAACAAGTAAATATTAACAATTAACAAGAAGAATAGACATATCTCTCATGCAAAATAATTCGTAATAATCATTGTAGATATTCTGCCATCAGAAAGTTGGAACAGGACTCCCTACTTCTTAAGTGTGGCAATGGCTACATAGTGACTTCCCTTTATTTTTTATTTATTTATTTATTTTTTTTTTGAGACAGAGTCTTGCTCTGTCACCCAGGCTATAGCTGGGACTACAGGCACCCGCCACCATGCCCGGCTAATTTTTTGTATTTTTAGTAGAGACAGGGTTTCACCGTGTTAGCCAGGATGGTCTCGATCTCCTGACTTCATGATCCGCCCGCCTCGGCCTCCCAAAGTGCTGGGGTTACAGGCCTGGGCCACCGCGTCCAGCCATGACTTCCCTTTCTAAGAATACAGAGTGGAAAAGTGGACAAAATCGGACACTTTGTCATGGAAACCCCTGAAAAACCCTACCTTACCAGGTGTTCAAAGCTAACATCAACAGTGATATGTTAGCAATAACAGCAAATAGCCAGTACTGATGTGATAGAAATGGCATTTTACCTCTGTAATCTTATTCCCAACAATCACAACCTCAGTCTAATAATGAGAAAAAAGAAAACAACAGACAAATTCAAGTTTAGGCATATTTTGAAAAACATCTAACCAGTACTCCTTGAAACCGTCAAAAAAGGTCATTAGAAACAAAATCTGAGAAGCTGTCATAGCCAGAAGCCTAAAAAGACATAATAACTGTAACTAACATGGTGTCCTGGGTGGGGTAGGATCCTGGGACAGAAAAATTAAATAAATACATAGGTAAAAAACAAGAAAATCTAAATACATTAGGGGCTTTAGGGAATAATATGTTGATATTGCTTTATTAATTGTGACACATGCACCATACTAAGATCAGATGCTAATGACAGAAGGAGGAAACAGTGGGGGATGTGTGGAAACCCTCTAATTGTTACAATTTTTCTATAAACCTAAAGCCACTCTAAAATAAAAAGTTTATTTTAAAATACGTAATGCCCGTAATTTTTAAATGTGTAAAAATTTAATTTGTTTTAGGTGATAGTCATTTGACACTTAATATATGAAAATATTTTGCAATAAAAACAGTTATGTCACATTAAAAGTCACTGATTCATAGTTTTCTAATGAAAGAGTAGCATATTACTGTTGTTAGGAATCTTTTGTTTGAGTCCTATCACTTTGTATTGTCACACTAGGCAAAAATATCATAATCCAAGTATATATTTCTAAAATTAAATTCCCATAACTCAAAGGAATTTAAATTTAACAATGGGTAAATCTTCCTCGGGTCTTTCCATATGGTTTTATATGACTCATCTATAAAAGAAGCCCCTAACGGACTCCTGTTCCTTATATTCGGCTTTTCTAGAACCGGCAGCAGTCTTGGATGTCACAGTGTACCTCGGCTCTGCATTCTACAAAAAAGGATAATAGAATTGATGTGCAACAAACATTTTATTCTAATACATCTATTAAAGAGATTTGCTATGAAGCATTCAAACAATAAGTATGCAGTTTGACTGTAAGAGTTTTGCTTTTTAAACAATCATTTGAGTTTAGAATCTGGGAGAAAGGTCAGTGCATCAATAACATTGTTCTCTCTTTGGAAAAAGAGAAAAAAAAGTCCTGAGATAACATCTAAGAATTTAGTTTTCTAAATGTCTTGGCATTTGGATTGGAGTTTTAACCTGGCATAAACATTATTACAATTGAATACATACTTGTTCCAGTGAGCATCAGATTTGGTGCTTAAGTAAGAATTATTGATGATTAGTAAATTGTTAGAATTAGATGTAATATTCTAAATCTTGTTTTAAATCCACTTTGAGAAATATAAAATGCCATACCCTTTTCCAGCCAACAAATCAAATAAAAAAGTAATAATCATTTTAAAATTATGCTTTTCTTCTTAATTTATATTTTGCCATTTTTCTCACTTTTCTTTTAAAAAAACAACTAAACTAATATGTCTCATTAGGAATCCCTTGAGTCAAATCTCATATGAGATTAAGCCAATGTTGAGAATTCCAAGAAAGAGAATTCAAAGGTAGGCAGAAAAAGGTATTTGAAGTTAGCCGGCTAATTTGCCATATGTAGAAAAACTATAACTACCTGCTTAGATACACCTTTTTCTAAAATTGGATTTATATCTTCAACAAAATAAAATATTCTATTTACATGTGCGTTATGCTGTGCCTTGCTTGTCAAAATGTTTCCCATGGATCAGGCACATCAGCATCACAGGTAGCTGGTTAGAAATGCACTCTTGTCTCCACCTGAGATCTACTGAGTAAGAATCTACACTTAGCAAGATTTCCGGGTGGTGTGTGTGCATATGAAAGTTTGAGAAGCACTGTTCCATACAGCCACTGTTATTTGAAACAATATTTTTACCAGTACGTGCTATATAAAATTCAAGCTAAAGTTTAATTTGCTGTTACTGCTTTTGTTATTTATTCATTTCATCTCCTTTTCCAAAATTTTCTCCTCCCTAGCACTGCGGCAATCTGCCTCTGTAATTGGTCTCTGACATCTCCGTTACATCATGGCCCCAAAGAAGCCACCGTTCTTGAGGAAGCATGGGAGGTAGAAAATTATACCATTAATTTTTGCATTATTTAAGTAAGTAGTTAACAAATGACATACATATAATTTTTAAAAACAAACCACTATCCAATAACTCTATCAAGATTTCCAAAACAATTATTTCGAAGGTTAAGTTAAAGGCATTTGCATACACAGAATTTGAAGCCACCAGATAAAAAGATCTAGAAGATGTTCTCAAAAGTTTACAATATCTGAAATGCAAAGCAAGAATTTGTATTTTGACATTGGGCTCTAATGAAAGAGATTGTGCATGTATATATGCATGCGTATTTTAAAAACCCTTATTAAGATTTTAATTTGCCATCAAGGGCAACTTGTCATACGAAGATGAAACTATTTTATGATTCATTAGCCAAGTGTGACTGAGACAGCTGAGATTAATTTAATCTTGGCTTTTATGCATTAGTATTCAAAAGGAATCTGAAGCAGAGAGCAGCACTTGGTTTTATTTTTATAATGAAGGAAATATTTTGCAGCTTCTCTGTTTTGATGATCACAATGAGCTGGTGGATTAAATGATTCTATAGTTTAACACAAATATGGATTAAGAATGAAAGCTATTTCCATGATGTCTTGCTGTCCTTTAGACACATGCTTGAATGACACTGTTATGAGAAGCAGAAGCTGTAACATTTACTCTGGAAAACAAATGTTTACCTCAAGCAGCAACTGACATTTCTAGCTTCTTGCATGAATATCAGGCACTGCTTCAAATCACTTACCAGCCTCAGTCCTTGTATCTTGGTCTTGGGCCTCAGGCCAGTATTAGGTGAGGGGACCTGACCTGACTGAAACCAGGATGCCTTAAGCACACCAACAAGGGGCTCTCCCAAGTCTACATCCTCAACACCTGAGCCCTGATTAAGCACATCGTCACGATGATACACTGCGGTTGCCATTACTATTGATGGCATGTCTATAGAGACCTCTGGCTAAAAAAGACCCTAGGTCTTCCTGTCAGCGGTACTTCTTTCCTCTTCTGCTGCGTGCATATAATCCATCATGACAGTAAGCAGAGCTCTTTAATTCTCTATCCCCTTTCCATTATAACAATGAAACATCCCTCTTAATCTCTTAATTGCTGCAACAACTGTATGAGTCATCATTCTGATATTTCCCCCCATTCACCTCTCCTTCTTCTCTCGATGCAAGTCTATGGAGCCAAATTACACACATTCACACACATATTTTTTTTTTACCATTAACAATGGTTATTATTATTGGCAGTGTATCATATGTCATGCATCCCATAAGCTCCAAGTTTTTTTATTCTAGACATCCCAAGCAATTTGCAGTTAACTCTCAACTACAATACTTTAACATTATTAGTCTGTGTCACAAATTTAGCATTTATATTACATTGTTGTATGATTATATACACATAAGTTCTGACCCCTCAACTGAACTGTAAGTTTCTTAAAGTTAATGATTGTATCTTACTGTACATAATAGGCTCAGAATAAATATTGGAGAATTGTTTGAAAAGCCATAATGAAATATTTTCAGAAGCTGAAAAAGAACAAATAAAAATACACATACAGAACTATAAGATACTCTACCCACACATGAAGAGAATCAGTCAAAAGCAATATTTAAGGGGAAACAAAATTTAGAGCTCTAACTCGGATCTGCAAAAATGTGACCTTATTTCTCTTTAATCTCAAGTTTCTTACATGCATCTCTATCTTTCGATAGCAGTAAAGAACCCTGCTAATAAAAGGAGAGCTTGATAATTTCTTACTTAACTCTTAGTTCTCTTAAGTAAATGATGAATTCAGGATTTCAAACTCAGTAGTTGAAAGTTGAACCTCCATTATGGGCCCCTGACCCCACATCCTTTGTTCTTTCCCTATTCCCTTTCCTATCCGTGAGGAACATGTTCACATAACGTTGTGGGAGCATCGTTATCTTTAGGCATCCATGAAATATGTTCTAATATTCTTCCACAGCAGGATTTACTAGGGATCACCTATCCAACAACATACCCTGGGGGCAGTGGAGAGAGCAGCAGTCCTCCCTAAACACGTGTTTAGGTCATGTGCAGTTATTTCTATAACAAAACACACTATAGAAAAACCATGAGGAAGCAAGCCCCAGAGACCGAAGACAGACTCAAGGTAATGTTTGTGTGCTCACTCTGCCAATGACAGTATTTTCCCTATCCAGCTCTACGACATGGTTTGTTGCCCCTGGTATTAGAATTTCATCACACCTGGGATTTTCCCAAGTACAACTTGATAGCTTAGCTTCTGAGACTAGAGTTCCACACAGGCATTCTGGCACACAGTGAAATCAAGCTTTAGAAGAAAGCTGCCCATGTCACTTGACATGAAACCGAGCTGCTAGTGTGTCTTACCACCCTAGTCAGAAGCAGCTGGAGAGCATGGTTCCCAGGCCCTTCTTCTGGGGGAATGTCTGGCCTTAAAAGTGGCTAAGTGGGTCATATGATCTAATTCTGTGCAGTTGAGGATATTCAAGACCAGCTTCCTAGAGAAGTAAGAAGGGTATTATGGGAATGAACGTCTTCTTCCTCTTTGAGTTGGTAGTTGCTGAGATTGCCAGGTAGAGAAATGAAGAGTGAACAACAGAAATTATTTAGAAAATCCAGTGATCGCTGGATATATCTGGCTGATCAGCAGGTTTCTCAGTCCAAAATTCTGAGCATCTCATGTGGCATTATCTAAACAGCCACACAAAGCCAATAGGTAATGGAAATGGGTCTGGAAGATGACCAGCAAGTAATACCTTACCAAAAACTTTCAGTTCTGATGTTGATGAACAGTTATACACTCCTGTTCTCTCTTCCCTGGTGAGAAGGCCATTCCTAGACTGCTTCTCCACTCCACATATTAACGGCCCCTGGAAAGCCACTGTATTCATCTCTCCTGTGTGAAACCCCAACATTCAAACACTGACCATTGTTTTCAGACCAAACTGAAGTTCCGTTACACAGGTAGGCTGCTCCGTTAGCAGTCATTTGTCTACACCCTATACTTCACAGTAAGTTAATGATACAGCTCAAGAAATGCCTTTTCTGACCGTATCTTTTAATATATGGACCATATCCACCAAGTCAAACTTCAATTTCTATTTCCAAGTGCATATGTGCCACATTTTGGAGCAGTGAAGACATGTTAAAATGTGACTGAGAGGTTAAGTATGGCTAAAAAAATTAATCTTCTACTTTTTTCCTTGTTTCTTATTGAAATGGATTCCGTAAATATTAGCTGGAGAGGTAATTGCTTACTACAGTTAGAAATAAGACAATAAGTAGTTTAGGGAAAGTAATTATATTTATATAGCCTTTGCTTAGATTTCAAAAATTATATGTTTTATAGTTATGACTTTAGAATACAACTGCCTGCATCCTGTTTAGCTCAACGTCCAGATAACACCAGCAAAATGGGTTCTCCTTCATCAGTCTATTGGTAGCTCTCTCTTTTTCTTTAATGTATTCTTAAATACAGCATTGGAATTTCATAAGGACAATATTCTAGGAATGCCCCAAAGAAATATGTGCAATCTGACCTAACATCACATCTTTCGTGAATGACTTGGAAAAGGTAATGTTGTGACTGGTTCATTGTAATTCAGCACATTTAACCTACAGTTACAACAATCATTATTCCCAAAAATGTGTAAGATAGCCAGGGTATCAGAGAGTCTGTCCAGCCTGTTCCCTTAGCTACTGATACCTGTCAGACCTCACATCCTGATCTGAAATTGAAAAGTGTTACAATAACAACTACAGGTTGTCGTGTTGTTAGTTTTGTCCAGGCAAATATATGTATTTATAGCCTCTAGGATCCATGCAGGTACCATAGTCTTGTAACCCCACCCCTCTGTTCACCATTGACTGTGTAGAACAGTGGCTAAGACCACAGGTTATAGAGTTAGAGACTTCCTTCTGATACTTCCTGGTGGAATGACAGTGGACAATATCTGTAGTATCTGTAAAGCCTCAGTTTTATCTGCTTTCAAAATGGTAATAGTATTATCTACCTCATAAGTTGCTTATGAGGATTAAATGAGATAATATATATAAGGCATAACTTACAGTGCCTTGTGGTTAGTAATTACTCGTGAAATGTTAGCTATCATTGCTGTCATTATTTTAATATACAACCAAGATTAACATTATGTGAGGCCCCACTGGCAGGTCAATTCCCTTCAAATATTATTTGGCTATTTCTGAGTTATTGACTCTCATCTTCATAAGAATCAGTACCTAAGGTTTTAACAAATAGAGATATTTTATTTGTATAAATAATCATCTCAAATAAATTTACTACTTGCTGTCTGAATAAATCCTGGTTTTAAAAATGACTGCTGGAAAATTTGCGATTTATACCAATATCAATATAATAGTAACTTTCCCTAAACATCCAAAATGTTGATACTAAAAATATAACTTTTTTGCCATTTGGAGTTTTCAAAAGCAAATCTATTTGGGTAAACGGTGGTCTAAACCTGTTTGGACCAAATAAAATCATAAAAATATTTAAACCATTTACTTCTTCAACGAAGCACATTTGTGAATAAAACATTGGCAAATATTAAATTAGATCTCTTTATATAATTAATGACGAGAGAAAACTAGCAAAATGTTAAGGGAAACATTATTTTTTATATAAATATAGAAAGCCTGAGAAATACATGTTTGGATAGAGTGAGACATTTCACTTTATGTCATAAATACCATGTTTTAATGTTTCAAAATTTCAATTTGAAAGGGGGAAATATGTAATGTTTCTGCCAACAGCACTTACATAAATTTCATGCATGCTTGGTCTATTCCTTCTAAAATGCATTTTAAAAGGAAGATTTAAAAAATACGAAAACAGCATGCTTATTATCCACAGTACCTTATTTATAGGCTTGCTCCACAAGTCACTGTGAGACCACAGCCTGGAAATGATTTTTCTTGTGCTTTTTCTTTATCTACCACAAGGAGGAAGATGTCATCAGCCATATCTATAACATGGCAAGAGGAACAAAAATTAAAAGCTGTGGCTTATGATTAAAGGCATCCTATAAAATATGTGCTTGCTGAAACGCCATCGGCTAACTCCAAATATGTATGGAACTAAGTGTAAAGTTATGGCTGGCAAGTTGCTTTGTGTCATTTTCTTGTCGACGCTCAACATGCAAAGTAGCACCAGCACTCTGTGCAAATAGAACAGCAATGATACGGCAAAATAAGGAAGGGCTGGCTGGATTAGCAACAATGATACCAATACACTAACATACTAATGCACCCGACATTCTAATACCCAGGGGCATGAGGGCGTGGTCAAAATTCCATAGACTCTTGAATCTACTATAAAAGCACACTAACTTAGATTACTTAAGTGGAAAATTATTTTGAATAATGTTTCAATTATAGAATACTGTAAGGATTTACACATTTATAATTTCAAGTACAGATAATCATACTGTGATATTTGTCATTGAGTTACGGTAATGTGATCAAGCTTCTACAAAAGGTGGATTAATTTCATCTTCAGCAGGCAATGCTGACTTTCTGATCGAAGTAAAATAGCTCTTCTAACATACGCATCTGCTTTGGTGGCATAAGCCTAGAAATTATCCTTTCCTGAGTCACCAGTAATTAAAAATAGTAGAGAATATTCGGCCAAAAATAAATAGGAGGAGAATGAAAAATAATGTCTATGTGCAAATATGGTGTAGACCAAAATTGTTTTGGAGAAAAACATAAGGGATGCTTATCTAATATAAGTCTTAACACACTTCCAGGCAAGAAAGGTAATTGTAATTGGAGAGTTAAGACATCTGAATTACTGCTAGAAAGCTCATTCTGCTAAAAGTTGCATATCTAGGGGTTTACTAATATGCCAAAATTATCTTTATCATTAAGTAAGAGATGTAACAAAGAAGAAATGACGTTCAGAACTTAATACTAGCAAGCATGGTGTTTTGAAAAACATGAAAAATGTATAAAGTAAAATAGCAAGAATACACTATACCACTTTCAAGATACATAGCAGCAATTGAACAATGTTTAAATTGATTTTTCAACAAATTTGTCACAATTCTCATTTTAATGGATTTACAGTTTTTCATCTTAAGTGTGCGCCATATTTTTTCTAATCAGTTCTGTTATTTACTGCCTTATATAGCTTAATGCTTTATACATCAGCTTCTGTGCTTTGTATTTTATTGAATACGTACATGGAAAATTAATCCATGATCTTCTAATTGCCAAGTAAAAAAAGTCATGCGTCACTCTTCATACAATTGATTTCTCTGACTCATTTGACAATGTTGAGTATTTAATGACACTCTCTTCTCTTTACATAATAACTCTTACTCATCGTATGTCTTGGAATAACTTTCAGATTCGTATTTACTATCTTCTTCTCTGCCCATTTCATTAATGTTAATAATGTCAGTATCCTATCCTCAGTTCTTCTACTCTTATTAAATAAATTCAGTTTATACTTTGAGTCACTACCATAATCCAGAAAAGCAAAAATTAGTCAAACGTGCAGGAAAATAATGCAGTACATGCCATTATAAATGTGTCTAGGATGATAAAAATGCTGAGAAGTGTCGATAGGGTGGCATCTATCAAGGGCAGTGAAGGCAGGTGGGAGGCATCACGGCCCGTCTTAAGATCTTATTCGTGGGACAGTGAATGCATCTGTGCCTTGGAGACTAGCACAGCCGTCTCAACAGTGAGGAAGCTCAGCCCACAGTGAACTGTGCTCTATTTACTGTACTTCCCACAGTTCAGTGTCCAAACTGAGCACTGTTGCCGTGAAGATGTCAGGGTGAACGAGGAGCCCTGTGATCTCCTGAGGTTCAAGAGAGACTTCAGAAGGTATGGAGCAGCCATTTCAGAAATGGTGGATTATATTTTATTTTCTTGTATTTTACTTATATTTTGGTTAATACTTTAACCAAACCTTTTTTGTACTACCGTACACCCAGTGTTTTTGCAGTAGAGGATGTTGTAGCCAAAACTTGGACCCTTAAAAACAGACCCAAGATAGCCTACACCTCTGGTGTTAACAGCAGCTCTTGGGTAGGGCAGGGTGGCTCACGCCTGTAATCCCAGCACTTTGGGAGGCCAAGGGGGGCAGACCACTTGAGGTCAGGGGTTCAAGACCAGCCTGGCCAACATGGTGAAACCCTGTCTCTACAAAAAATACAAAAATTAGCTGGATGTAGTGGCAGGTGCCTTTAATCCTGGCTACTTGGGAGGCTGAGGCACGAGAATTACTTGAACCTGGGAGGTGGAGGTTGCAGTGAGTCAAGATTGATCACGCCACTGCACTCCAGCTTGGCGACACAGCAAGAATCTGTCAAAAAAAAAAAAAAAAAAAAAAAAAGAACAGCAGCTCTCATACATATAATAGAATTCTTTAACAGTAAAATATCTTCTATATTTCAATAGATGTATTTTGCTCTAGAAATTATGAAATGATATCATAAGATAACCCTGTTTAGTTTGATCAACAAGATTTTGTCTATAGAAACTAGTAATATTTCTAGGAAACCTCTAAATATTTGGAACTGTAACAACACATTTCTAAATATTCTATGAAAAAAGGAAAAATATATTGGAAATTTGCAGAAGTCTTACTAGAAAAGATATCCTCCAGTAATTGGGATTGGCATGTTTTTTCAATTTAAATCAAACACAATAAGAACTCCAGAGGAATTCCACTTAGAAATAAAATAGCACATTTCAAAATCACCCATGCTTCAAATAGAAAATCACAAGAGAAATTAGGATATATTTTGAACTGAATAAAAGTGAAAACAGAGTATGGTAGTATTTGTGATATTCACCTGAAGTATTTCTCACAAGGAAATTGATTATCTTAAATAGCAGCATGTAGAAAAAGAAAGGTTTTCTGAAACTTAATGAAACAAAACAAAACACAATGAAAAATTAACAAAGCAGAAATTGTTTCTTTGAGATTAAGTTGTCAGAACTCTAGTAAGATTATTCAGAGAAAGAGAGAAAATAGCTGCATAAGAATAGCTATATTTATAAACATACCTAAATTCAGCTATTCTCTCTGTATTTATACTGTGTAATATAAATATAGTATAAAAACAGCTATTCCCATGCAGGTATTCTTACTATAAAATAGAATTCACAACAAAATCTTTGTCAAGGGAAACACCAGGATAAGATAGGTTCACTATTAAATTCATAAGATATTTTATGTAGAAATAATAACAATTCCAGAAGCTTTTTAAAAAAAACATAGGACAAAATGTTCCCTAACTCATTTCATAGGAGCAAATAACCTTGATACCAAAACCTGGCACAAGATATCAAAAGAATATACTTGAAGATTTAAATAATATAAAAACATAATCAAAATATTAAGAAATTAAGTAAAACAATATTTAAAAGTAAAATACACCACAAGCAAGTAGGATTTATCCTGGGAATGCAAAGTTCGTTCAGTAGCAAAAATCAATCAATGTAATTCACTACAGAACAGAATAAGAAGAAAATATATAATCACCTTATAGATGCAAAAAGTGCATTTGACTAAATTATGCATCTATCCATGAAAAACTGTCAAAAACACAATGAAACTGTCTTAATCTGATTAAGGCCATGTTAAAAAAAAAACTATAGCTAACAAAATAATTCATGTGAATGACCAAATGTCTTTCTTCTAAGATCAAAAAAAAAAAAAAAGAAAGAAAAAAAAGGAAAGTAAGTCTGCTCTACATACTTGTAGCCAATACTTCACTGGAGCTCCTAGCCAGTGGAAAAAAGCAAGAAAAATAAGAAAGATTTAAAATGAAGAACTAAAATAGCCTCTTTTTATAGATTATATTATTGTTCCTATATAAAATCCTAAGTAATCAAAAATTGATCTGCCAAAATTAATTAATAAATTTAGCAAGGGTTTAGGTGGCAAGCCCTTTGGAAAAAATAAATTAGAATTCTAAATATATTCAAACAACTAGAAAATATAATTTTAAGTGGTTTATGCCATAAAATACCAAGAAATATAATTAACAAAATTATGGATAACATCTATGATGAAAAACATAATGTTGAGAGAAATAAAAGACTATCCAAATATAAATATACAGTATGGCAATGGTATCAATAGGACATCAATTCTTACCCAAATTTATTTATACAGTAAATGCATTTTTAATCCATATCCTGACAGATATTTCTGCCACAGAAACTGATAAGCTCATTCTAAAATGTAAGTAGATATCAAAGAATCTAGAAAAGCAAAAATAATTTTGAAAAATGAAGTTGAAAGAGTTACACTATATTATTTCCAGACTTACTATAAAGCAACAATAACCAAGATATTTCAGAGTTAGTATAAATTTAAACATATAGATCAGTGGAACAGAAAAAAAGTCAGAAATAGACCCATACATATATGGTCAATGAATTTTTTACAATGACAAAAATACGTTTCAATGGAAAAAGATAAATTATTCAACAAATGGTGTCTTAACACTTGTATGAAAAAGAAAAGCAACCTCTATCTCACACTATGAAATTTATTTGAAGTGGATTAGAGAGACCTTATTGTAACAGCTAAAATTATAATACTTCTTAAGACATAGATGGAACACAAAAAGCATAAAACATACATTTTTTTAGAAAGGATAAATTAAACATCATAAAAAGTAAAACCATCTGCCTTTCTAAAGACAGCATTAAGGAAATAAAATTAGAAACCACAGACATGGAGGAAAAATATACATTTATCTAGCACATACAAATGATTTTTACAATAAGAATTAATAACACAAACAAGCCAAAAGGACTTAAGTAGGTACTACTTCACAACAGAATGGTCAATAAATACATTAGAAGAGGTTCAACATCATTGGTGATCAGAAAACTGCAAATTAAAACCATAATGAATGAGATACCAGTTTATAACAAATATAATATCTAAAATTAAAAGACTAACAATACTTTTAGTGAAAATGCATAGCCACTGCAGACCTCCTATGCTGCTGTTGGTGAATTTAAAATTATGGCCACACAATCCCACACATGGATACCTACTCAAAATAAATAAAACTTATTTCTAGAAAAAGACTTGTACGTGGCAAGACTTGTACATAACCCCAAATCAAAAACAACCCAATGGTTCAGGTACAAGCAAATGAATTTAAAAATTGCAGCATATTCATATAACTGAGAGCTACTTAGCAATGAGAAAGGACTAACACACAACCTGGATGAATCTCAAAAACATGCTGAGTAAGAGAAGCCAGAAATAAAAAAAACGCAACAGCGTGCATCCATCTATTTGACGTTGTGGAGCAGCTGAACTGAGCAATTGTGATAGAAAGATGAGTGAGTGGGGTTGGAGGAAACCTGGGATGACTCTTATGGACAATGATGATGCTCCTGTCAGCACACACTTAAAATGTTTCCTTTTTGTTGTATGTAAATTATACCTCAATATAGATGACAAAAAAAAATAAAATAGAGCATTCCATTTTAAATGACAGCACCATGAACATGGTGAACACTCAGTTTTTGAGCTGTTTTACGACCAATGAGCTCATTTTACTCTACAGGAAGTTTCAGTTGTGTGACTATAAGGAATAATTAAAGGCATCACAGAATTTTAACACCCTGTGTGTTTTTAAAAATTGAATACAATTTATAGATGTGGTTAAATGTAAGCTTCCTGTCGCCTTGCTACTTTGAGGATTTGGGAACTCTTGAAACCGGCTAAAAGAAGAACAAATAAAAGGCCATGGAAATTATAATGTTCTGACCAAATGCCCCCCAAAAAATTAAAAAAAAATAAATTTAAGAGAGCACGGCAGGTTTTGGAATAGATTTGTTACTGGATTTGTCAGATCCAAGAGAAGATTCTTGGATCTCATGAAGGAAGGAATTCAGGGTGATTCACAAAGTGCAGTGAAAAAACTGGGTTTATTAAAAGTTATTTTATTATAGAGTAGGGCACCCTCGGAAAGCAAGAGGAGAAACCACCAGGCTTTGTTTTAAGTTTTCCTTATATAGGGGTCTTGTCTATGTAAAGACTAAGCTAAGCTGTATCTACGTGCAGGTAAGCAGGCATCCTGACACATTTATTGCTGTATTGATTTAAAGAAAACTAGCCTTGACCGTCTAGTGTGTGAGTACATCAAAGCATAACTATTATTATCTTCAAAACATATATTGTTATGGGTATTGGGACATCTGGACTCTCTGTTGTTGTAGGAGTGTGTCCTTGCAGGTACCTTTAAGCTGTTTCCTTTAATACAAACATCCCATGAATATGGGTCATGACCGGCAAGGCATGCGTTTTGCTAGTCTCAGAATGGAACTAAACTAAAAAGGCATTACATTGTCCCTCCTTGGCTCCTGCTTCCCTGACAAATTGACCATCATTAGAATGTCTGGAGTGTGGCAAGTGATGGGTTAACCACCAGTACTATAGACATTATTCTAAGGAGTCCAGAGTCTATATATGAGGCACACATAGTTTAACATAGATAAGATGCATCCAACAAATATTTCTTTTTCTTCTTTTTTTTTTTTTTTTTTTTTTTGAGATGGAGTCTTGCTCTGTCGCCCAGGCTGGAGTGCAGTGGCGCGATCTCGGCTCACTGCCAGCTCCGCCTCCCGGGTTCACGCCATTCTCCTGTCTCAGCCTCCCGAGAAGCTGGGACTACAGGCACCCGCCACCGCGCCTGGCTAATTTTTTTTTTTTTGTATTTTTAGTAGAGACGGGGTTTCATCGTGTTAGCCAGGATGGTCTCGATCTCCTGACCTTGTGATCCACCCGCCTCGGCCTCCCAAAGTGCTGGGATTACAGGAGTGAGCCACCGCACCCGGCCTCAAATATTTCTTAATTACAAAAAAATTACAGTTGAGTGGGGGATTACATATGTTAAAAGAATTTACATAAAGCTGGAAAACACTGACATCTGCTCTTTTTGCTCAAAGTACTTCAAGAGTACCCAGGATGTAATTAGACAAACATATGTATACAGTAAGAAAAAAATACGTTATTAAAACAATTGAGACTAGGCTGTGTCAGAAATAAAATGTTTAAACACTCAAGTGATCTAGGTATCTCTCTGCAGAAAGATAAATTATGTTGCAGTAATATTTTAAAGAGAGGAATTTTTAGTTTCTGCAAAGACACAGAAAAATAAATGTTTATTTACAGGAATTTTGTTCAATTATGCATTCCAGTTTTCTAAACCTGAAAATGCCTTAGAATGTGTGAAAGGAAAGCCACCTGTCATACTTCTATAAGCAAAAATCCAAAACATATGATTTCTAATGATGTAGGCATATGGCCTTTAAAAGTTATAAAATTCACTTGCGTTGAAAATGATTTTTTAAATTGCAAAGTCTCTATCCAGATTATAGCCGGATACTCAATCCTTTTCTGCAACTAAGGACTCATTATCATTATTTCATGGAGAGGTGTTTATGTTTTGTGGAGATTCCTGTGAGCTTCTACCTCTGCTGGTGTCTTGGGGTTCTCTCTTGGGGGCTCAGAATTCCCTGCACTCCATCCCTCAGCCACGTGAATGACACAGATTTTCCCTGTTTCTGCCAGTCAGAAACCTTTGCTTATGCTCTTCTCTTGGTCTGAAATGCTGTCCCCCTACTCCCACCTGCTAAATCCTCCTTGCTCTGAAGTCTGAGAAGCCTTCTCTGACCCCAGTTCCTCCCTAGGAATTCCCCCTCCAGCTGTGTTACAACTATCTCTTTGCTGTACTCTCTTTCCTACTGGATTCCATAAGGGCAGAGCCTGAGTTCTGTTCATCATTCATCACCAAGAACTAGCAAAGGGCCTGGAATAAAGTAACAGGTAGCACTTGTCAGATAAATCAATCAATGAAGGTGGGACAGCAGCAGCTACTTTGCTTCTTTTTTTTTTGTTTGTTTTACTTTTCTTTTTTTTAATTAATTAATTTATTTTTTATTATTATTATACTTTAAGTTTTAGGGTACATGTGCACAATGTGCAGGTTAGTTACATATGTATATATGTGCCATGCTGGTGCGCTGCACCCACTAACTTCTTTTTCTTCCTGAGCTTTCATTTTGTGGTGGTAGCTGTTGCTCTGTGAGGCGGGTGGAAGTCCTTCCAAGGCCTGAAATGGATTCTGTAATCTTTCATGGTATGTTCTCGATTTCTACTCCAGGTGTGAGAGAGGACTTCTTCTCACATTCACAAACCTCTCTTAGCTGATTTAGCTTGGTTACTTGGAATAAGAATTTCACAGTTCATGGAACATAATGAAACATGTCCTGTGCTGGCAGAAGTGATTTTGTGTCAAAAGGAACTAATTTTTAACCTACCTACATCATTACCTACATCTATTAAGCTGAACAATTTCAATTATTTTTGATGGGCTCAGTTTCTCACTTATGAAATGAGGGATTGAAAGATATGATCTTAGTGGTTCTGAATAATACATAGCTCTCAGATAAAATTACCAAGGCTCTCACAGCATATATACTCAGAAATATGTGATGCAAATGTGTGGTTTAAAATATATTGTGCATTCTGTAAATTAAATCTTATGAATCAATTGTATTAGCAAATGTGACAGTGTAACAAAAATATAACCTGCAAGTCGCAACTGGAATTAGCTCAAGCTAAAAAGGAAAGTTATTGACACATTAACTGAAAAGTCAGAGTATTTCAAGTTTCTTTTTTCTTTTTAAATTATACTTTAAGTTCTCGGATATATGTGCAGAACGTGCAGGTTTGCTACATAGGTGTACACATGCCATGGTGGTTTGCTGCACTCATTAACCTGTCATCTACATTAGATATTTCTCCTAATGCTATACCTCCCGTAGCCCCCCAACCCCCGACAGGCACCCGTGTGTGATGTTCTCCCTGTGTCCATGTGGTCTCATTGTTCAACTCCCACTTATGAGTGAGAACATGTAGTGTTTGGTTTTCTGTTCCTGTGTTAGTTTGCTGAGAATGATGGTTTCCAGGTTCATCCATATCCCTGCAAAGGACGTGAACTCATACTTTTTTTATGGCTGCATACTATTCCATGGTGTATATGTGCCACATTTTCTTTATCCAGTCTATCATGGATGGGCATTTGGGTTGGTTCCAAGTCTTTGCTATTGTGGATAGTGCTGCAATAAACATAAAAGTGCATGTGTCTTTACAGCAGAATGATTTATAATCCTCTGGGTATATGCCCAGTAATGTGATTGCTGGGTCAAATGGTATTTCTGGTTCAAGATCCTTGAGGAATCGCCACACTGTCTTCCACAATGGTTGAAGTAATTTACACTCCCACCAACAGTGTAAAAGACTTCCTCTTTCTCCATATCCTCTCTAGCATCTGTTGTTTCCTGACTTTTTAATGATCACCATTCTAACTGGTGTGAGATGGAATCTCATTGGGTTTTGATTTGCATTTCTCTAATGATCAGTAATGATGAGCTTTTTTCATATGTTTGTTGGCTGCATAAATGTCTTCTTTTGAGAAGTGTCTGTTCATATTCTTCACTCACTTTTTGATGGGGTTGTTCTTTTCTTATAAATTTGTTTAAGTTCCTTGTAGATTCTGGATATTAGCCCTTTGTCAGATGGATAGATTGCAAAAATTTCTCCCATTCTGTAGGTTGCCTGTTCACTCTGATGATACTTTCTTTTGCTGTGCAGAAGCTCTTTAGTTTAATTAGATCTCATTTGTCAATTTTGGCTTTTATTGTCATTGCTTTTGGTGTTTTAGGCATGAAGTCTTTGCCCATGCCTATGTCCTGAATGGTATTGCCTAGGTTTTCTTCTAGGGTTTTTATGGTTTTAGGTCTTATGCTTAAGTCTTTAATCCATCTTGAGTTAATTTTTGCATAAGGTGCAAGGAAGGGGTCCAGTTTCAGTTTTCTGCATATGGCTAGCCAGTTTTCCCAACACCATTTATTAAATAGGGAATCCTTTCCCCATTGCTTGTTTATGCCAGGTTTATCAAAGATCAGATGCTTGTAGGTGTTATTTCTGAGGCCTCTGTTCTCTTCCATTGGTCTATATATCTGTTTTGGTACTAGTACCGTGCTGCTTTGGTTACTGTAGTCTTGTAATATAGTTTGAAGTCAGGTAGCATGATGCCTCCAGCTTTGTCCTTTTTGCTTAGGATTGTCTTGGCCATATG
This sequence comes from Homo sapiens, assembly GCF_000001405.40. Classification (NCBI taxonomy): domain Eukaryota; kingdom Metazoa; phylum Chordata; class Mammalia; order Primates; family Hominidae; genus Homo; species Homo sapiens. The sequence continues at coordinate 4,795,061 of NC_000010.11, forward strand.
GGCTTTTTTTGGTCCCATATGAACTTTAAAGTAATATTTTCTAATTCTGTGAAGAAAGTCAATGGTAGTTTGATGGGGACGGCATTGAATTTATAAATTACTTGGGGCAGTATGGCCATTTTCACATTATTGATTCTTCCTATCCATGAGCATAGAATGTTTTTCCATTTGTTTATGTCCTCTCTTATTTCCTTGAGCAGTGGTTTGTAGTTCTCCTTGAAGAGGTCCTTCACATCCCTTGTAAGTTTTATTCCTAGGTATTTTATTCTCTTTGAAGCAATTGTGAATGGGAGTTCACTCATGATTTGGCTCTCTGTTTGTCTATTATTGGTGTATAGGAATGCTTGTGATTTTTGCACATAGATTTTGTATCCTGAGATTTTGCTGAAGTTGCTTATAAGCTTAAGGAGATTTTGGGATGAGACGATGGAGTTTTCTAAATATACAATCATGTCGTCTGCAAACAGAGACAATTTGGCTTCTTCTTTTTCTATTTGAATACGCTTTCTTTCTCTTGCCTGATTGCCCTGGCCAGAACTTCCAATACTATGTTGAATAGGAGTGGTGAGAGAGGGCATCCTTGTCTTGTGCTGGTTTTCAAATGGAATGCTTCCAGCTTTTCCCATTCAGTATGATATTGGCTGTGGGTTTGTCATAAATAGCTCTTATTATTTTGAGATATATTCTATCAATACCTAGTTTATTGAGAGTTTTTAGCATGAAGGGGTGTTGAATTTTATCAAAGGCCTTTTTTGCATCTATTGAGATAATCATGTGGTGGTTCTTGTCATTGGTTCTGTTTATGTGATGGATTACGTTTATTGATCTGCATATTTTGAACCAGCCTTGCATCCTGGGGATGAAGCCAACTTGATCATGGCAGATAAGCTTTTTAATGTGCTGCTGGATTTGGTTTGCCAGTATTTTATTGAAGATTTTCGCATCAATGTTCATCAAGGATATTGGCATGAAATTTTCCTTTTTTGTTGTGTCTCTGCCAGGTTTTGGTTATCAGGGTGATGTTAGCCTCATAAAATGAGTTAGGGAGGAGTCTCTCTTTTTCTATTCTTTGGAATAATTTCAGAAGGAATGGTACAACTTCCTCTTTGTACCTCTGGTAGAATTTGGCTGTCAATCTGCCTGGTCCTGGGCTTTTTTGGTTGGTAGGCTTTTAATTACTGCCTCAATTTCAGAACTTGTTATTGGTCTATTCAGGGATTCGACTTCTTGTATTTCAAGTTTCAAAAGAAATTTCATGCATGCTGCAGTTCTGCTCCTCTGATTTTCCTGGTTCTACCAGTCTTTTGTGTCTGGGCTGCACACTCAGGCTGCCTTCCTTTCTGGTAGCAAATGGCTGGCTGAAGTTCCAAGCCTGTGGTCCAGTCTCTTCCCCAATCATGAAATGAAGTCCTGGACATCACTCTGATTGGAACAAATAGAAGAAATTTTCTATCCCCAAAACAACCAATTTGAGCAGGGCTGGAGTCAGGACAGGGGTTGCATTTGGGAGCTGTGTATATGTGTCTTAAACCTGAATCTCCTTTCTCTTATAATAACACCAGTTATTGGATTTAGGGCCAATCCCAACCCAAAATGATGTCATCTTGAAATTCTTCCTTTAATTGCATCTTCTAAAATCTTTACTCCAAAAAAAGGTCACATTCTGAAGTTCCCAGTGGACATATCTTTTGGAGAGGCACCATTACAGCCCTCTACCATCTGCCTACTGTCTACTCCAAATCCATGTCTGCTCCATGAGAAGGTGACATCTACCTCATCCCAACATCCCTGACAATTTTAACGCGTTGGACTATCTATTCTTAGCCTCAAATCTCACAAAAAATATTATCAAGTCAAAGATACCAAATCTAATCATCTAAATCAGATATGGGTGAAACTTTGGGAAGGATCCATCCTAGGGTGATGATATTCCTCTCCTTCTGTGGACTTCTGAATCTAGCAAACAAGTTATCCGCTCCCAAGATACATTGGTGTGTTTACATCTTCTCCATTTAAAACTAGGAAGACATTTGTTATTGCTTTTTCTTTTATTCCAAAAAGGAGAAAAACGGGAGGGATAAAGGGGACACTGGAATTAAGCAAAACCTAGCACAGCACATTCTATTAGGTTTTACGGCCTGAGAACAATCTTTTGCGGCATGATCCTGCACACCCTGGGCCCACAGCAGCTCCGTGGATGGCCCCTGCCCCTGGGCCTGCAGCAGTGCTGTGACTGGCTTCTGGGTGCAGGTGGCGGTAGCTCAGTCGCTCTCTACATCCACACCTCTGTCCTTGGAGTCATTCTTCCTTTTTCTGAAAGGGTAGAGCATGTTGGCTGTCAAGTAGCCCTACTGGCGTTTCCTGCTTGTAAAGTTTATAAGTCCCATGACTTTCTCTCATTTTGTCTTGTCTCTGTCCCTTTGGGTCAAAGTTGGCCGTGTTTCTACTGATTTAACATTCTCAAAATCCTCATAGGTTCCTGTGTATATCGAGGGAATCTATGTCACTAGACAGAAGAGTTCTCCAGAATTCTTCCTGGGTAACCCTGTCTCTATTCCTGGATTCTGCTGAGATTGGATCCGCGATACATGCCTAATCTTTTCAGTGAAAAGTTTTCTGGGCACTCCCTTGGTGTTCATTATAGAACATCCTTTCTCTGTCCACAGTGAATTTCCTCATCACGGTATCCTTTGCTTTCCAAAAAGGCTCAGAACTTCCTAAGTCATCAGGTCCTGGTTCCTTTTTTGCTCCAACATTCTTTCCTCAAATTATCTCTCTCCTCTCATATTTTACCAAAATGATTAAGAAGAAACCAGGCCTTACTTTCTTCACGTTCCTTGAAATACCCTCAGCTAAATAGACAGCTTCACTGCTTACAAATTATCCTTTGCACTCAACCTCAGAATACAACTCAGGCAAATTTCTGCCACTTTATAACAAGGATTTCCTTTCCTAGCATTTCCAGTAACACTTTTCTCATTTCCATCTGCGATTTCTGCTGAGGTCTCCATGTCAGCAGAATCACTGTAAGCATTCATATTTCACCTCAGCAGAATCACCTTAAGCACTCATATTTCCCCCAACAGGCTTGTCCAGGCAAGCTAGATTTTTCTGTCATTTGCCTCAAAGTTCTTCTAGCCTTTAACCCCCAATTCCAAAACCACTTCCACATTTTTAGATATTTGTTACAGAAGGACCTTGTTTCTTAGTAGCAAAATCTGTATGGGTTTGCTAGAGCTGCAATTACTAATGACCATAAACTTGTGGCTTAAAACACCAGAAACTTGTTCTTCCATAGTTCCGAAGATTAGAAATCCAAAAGGAAAGCGTCAGCCGGGTTGGTTCTTTTTGGAGACACTGAGGGAGAATCAATTCCATGCCTGCTAAACAGAGAAGCACATGGAGGCTGTGCTAAAGGATATGGAATTTCATTCATCTTTCATGTAGCAATTCCACAGTGAGTGGTCCAGGCTGTGGAGCAGTTTGCTGTATGGAATCATTTACTTAGGCTCCTCTCATAGTATTATTAAACCACACTCTAGGCAACAGATCTCACCCTTATCATATGTAGTGCTCTCTTTTGGCAGCATGTTAAAGCCTATAGACTCCTCAAAAAGAAATAATAATATAAATGGCCAGGCATGGTGGCTCTCACCTATATGCCTATAATCCCAGCACTTGGGAAGACGACTTGAGCCCAGGAGTTCAAGACTAGCCTGGGCAACATAGGGAGATCCCATCTCTACAAGAAATTTAAAAAGTAGCCAGGCGTGGTGGCATACACTTGTGGTCCCAGCTACTTGGAGGCTGAAGTGGGAGGATTGCTTGAGCCCAGAAGTTGGAGGTTGCTGTGAGCTATGATCGCACCACTGCACTCCAACCTAGGTAACAGAGCAAGAGCAAAAACAAACAAACAAACAAAAAACAGATGGCTACAAAGGAAACAAAATGAATATAGTTTTCAAAATATAAAAATATAAAAACAAAATATTTGAAAACTGTGTTATGGTAACATATGTTTCTTTAATAAGACATTAAATAACCCAGTCTGAAGGAGGAACTTGGTGCCCAGCATCACTTTGAAGTGGTGATGAGCATAAACGATACACTTATTTTGAAGTCTCTTCCATTACTGTGATACGATATGAAATCATCTAACGTTTCAGTTGGTGGATCAGAGGCACTGCTAAAGCTATTGTTTCTTTTTTCCTCATTGCTAGTTAAAGGCAATGATAAATTTTTTAGAAGTTCATACAAATAAGGTAATAATTATGATTTTCATAACTAGTTCATGGAAACCTAGGCTAAGATTCTGTGCCCTGGAGGCTTTTTCTACTTTGTAGATTTGAAGCCAGGCCACTGGTATGTCCATGTTCTATAGCAGACGGGAAAGAAAAGTCCAGAGCAGAGAGCTCTGTGACTGAGGTGCACATGCACACACACACATGCACACGCACACAGACACGCACACACGCACACACACACGCACACATACACGCATGCACACACGCACGCACACATATGCACACACGCACACATTCCCTTCACTCCATTCAACTGGCCTGAACTCCGTTGTGAAGATGGAAGGGAATGGAGGAATATGGTTGGTGTGGGTGGCCACATTCCTAGCTAAAACTTAGAAGGAAGGTTCAGTTACTTTGAAAATGAGCGGAGACTGGATACTGGGATCTTCAGCATTTTCTATCACAACATCCCACCAACCTCATATCCAGGTCTGTAGGGTCCTTGGATCATTGTCTGCCAGTGATTCTTGGTCAGAGCCACAAGCTCAGCGCCTCCACGTTCCTCTTTACCTACCTTGGAAAGGAGGGATGAGTCTTAGTCACCTCCTTGCAAGTTCCCTTGGCTTCTTATTCACCTTGCCTAGACTCTTCGTGAACCGAATGCCCTAGGGAAACACAGCTTTTCCCAAGACAGTCACACGCACTCACCTGGAACCAGAAGATTGTAGCATTGTCTTTGCTCAGGGCCTAGGCATCTGCTAGTCTAACATTTCAATAACCAAGAGAGTCATTGGAGTGACTTAGAGGATCAAGGATAACTGTGCTCTCATGTGAAAATATAGCTCTGCCCACCCAGAAGGGCAGCCAACACCTTCTTGATTATGGGTGTCTTATTCCACTTATTACTCCATTAAACTAAGATATGGTCCCTGGGGCAGGGGAAAGGTGGGTGGGTGGGGAGATGTTAAGGTTGGTTTTATAGGTGTTGCATTTCAGGTCCCTGTGGGACTGTTGAAGGGAGATTTTTAGGAGGCAGCTGAACATTCTCCGTGGATCTCTAATGAGAGGTCTGCACTGAAGATATAAATGCTAGAAACATCAGCCTAGAGCTAATCACAGAAGGTCTGAGAGAGAAAAGGATGCCCCTAGGAGCATGTGGGATAAAAAGTGGAGACGGTAGGGCTGAGATCTGAAGAGCATCAACACTAAAGAGACGGTATCAGAAGAGATGTCTACATGGGAAACTGCATGAATGTAGCCAGAGAAATATAGGTCAAGTAAGATAAGGGCTGAACATTACCAATGTGTTTAAGGTGTACATTGGCAACTTTGAAGAGACAAACTTCAGTGGGAGAAAGTGCAGGCTTTGGGAACTGAAAGGCAGGGAAGCAATGGGATTTAATGCTTGTGAAGTTCTCTTTCAGGAAGTGTATTTCTAAAAACCATGGCCCTTCATGGGCACGGTAACCTGGAATGTGTGGGGATATCTGCAAGTGTCACGATGGGTGTGGGTGTCACTGTTATTTAGTAGAGCATGTCAGGGGATCCGACTGTCCTACAGTGAGTGGGACAGCAGCCACCGCCATGCAGAGCCATCCTCCTCCTGCACAGCCTGCCAGGGCCCTGCTGCTTACTCACAGACTCTCAGACACTAATCTATTTCTCTGAGCCTCCACAAGCTTAAATAAAGCACACATTTTTGCATAGTTTTAATATACACTAAATTTTATAGAAATTCAATTAATGTTTAAATTGAGAGAAGATGGTAGTTTAAGTTCAGAAATGTACCCTAAACTCTCCATATTTCAGGAAAATCATCACAAAGAGCATTGCTCTTATGGCATTTAAGCATCCGATACAACTCACCTATATCAAATTGCTCCGTATTTGAATGTAACTGTCACCTTCACAGTGATTTTACACATAATGGATGTGCAGTTGGGTGTGTCTTAGTATTTAAATACTAAAATCATATCATTTTATCTTAAATTATCTTCCTTTTGTTTCTCCTTTACATTACAGTCAGGGCAGTATGTTGACTTTCAAACATTGTTTGTGTGGTTATATAACATTATCAGATTTTCTATCAGATCATGAAGCGGGGGTGTTGGGCACCCTTGCATTGAAAGCTCTGTTCTGATTTCACAACTCCTGGATCCACTCTCCAAGCCCAAACCCCTTCCTGAGAAACATTCTAGGTATAACTGATGAACCTGAGATGTCATGAGAGCAGGGCAAGGCCAACAGGATGCTCTCTTCCTGGAATGTGGATTTGGATTTCAAACTCTAACGAGTGTCTGTAAGCCGCTTAACTGGTGTCCTGCAGGCAGGGCTGAGGAGAGTTTGGGTTGTTTTGACTCATGCACACCCAAAATCAGAACATGTTTGTTTGCAAGGAGAGAAAAGAACAAAGCAGAAGAGAGACACAGAGATGAGAGGTTTGTCACCTTGGGTCACAGCGAGCCTGTGGCATGGTTCCCTGGGAGGCCCTGCTGCCCCTCTGCCTTCCCTTAGGTGCCTCAGATCTGTACCACAGCCCTTGGTGCTGCATTCTGCCAGCTCAGAGGGGTTTTGTTAATTGCAACCAAAAAGACTTGCTTAAGTATTTTAATTTCCACTTCCTAGTGGTTTTAATTAATAGTTGTTAGATGAATTAATGTAAAAACAAATGAATAAAGTAACCGCTTTAGATGAATTTTAAAAATTTTATTAAAAACATGAATATTATTTCTTCAACTAATTATCTACATCAGTGTTTTTTATGATTTCTCTCCAATTCCACTCTTTCCCCCACCAAAAAAGAGACAGTTGTCTTTCAGACACTCTTAGGATTACCTCATCCAAAATATTTGTTTTAAATGAAAAGACTTGATTTGTGAGGGGGATGTGTATATATGTGTGTGTGTGTGTGTGTGTGTGTGTGTGTATGTAGCAGAAAAAGAGGGGAGGATAAGGTCCTTTTCTATGCAACTCTCTGAGCAAAAACAATGCAGTCCTTTAAAAAATTGTTATCTTCTAATGTTAAAATAGCTAATTCTTATTTAAAGATTTAGTTGTAAGTCTTAAAGAAAATGTTAGTCTTTTAAAGATACAAGAAGTGTTAAGGGCTTCTCCACTTTTATTGGGCTGTTGGATTGGGTATTAAAATTGAGAAATATGCCTTATAAAGTTGTTTTTAATTGTAAATAAGTTCATGCATTGTTAAATTCAATTCTTGAAATATTCTGTTTCTAAGCAAATACACAACAGTACATAGCCAGTTTGCTATAGTTTCATGTTTTAAATTTTGTGTACATTTCATGTCACATGTTTCTTAATTTTTAGATGTTTACATATCTGAGCCTATGTTATCCTTGTACAAGTTTGATGGGAAAGCAACCAACACACTGATCTTTTATTCTTATTCAATTTTTCTTTCATAGGTAATTTCTGCACTAGTTTTATTTTACCTGAATTTGATCAGATGTTTTAAATGATCCAAATTCCTAGCACTAGAAAAAATCCAGGCTTTTGTAGTTTATGTTGTTGTTGAACGAGAAGAAGACCAGACAAGTAGACACACGTTCACTAATCATAGGGGTGACTTCCTTTCCAGTGTTCAGCAAGGGATGGGGTATAAGGCAATGCCAAACTTCAACCTGCCCATCAGGTGAAAGAGTGAAGAATGTTTAATGTAGAGTTGTTCTTGAAACTAGGCCAGATGATGTCACATACTGGCTTAATTTTTTCTATTGGATGCTTAATTATTTGAGGATTCTGCAGGAAAAGTCCGGGTTGAGTTGGCTTGTTCAATACTAAAATATTTTTCTCCTGCTAAAGCACACACATTCGCTCACAGCAGTGTATATGGAACTTATAGATGTTTATTTTTACCTCTTTTTTTCTTTTCCCTTCCTTTCTTACTCTCACTACCTAAGTTCAAGGTCTGTGGACTGTGTACTTGTGGAGGAGGAGCACCAGGAAGGGGAAGGGAGGGATTCCTGCTGGCAGGAACCATGGAGAGCACATCCCTACCTAACCCTGCAGAAAAGTAGCCACAGCTCAAGGAGGTCTCTCATGTAGATCTATAGAGTAGCCCGTGCAAAATAGCATCTTTCATCACAGAGTGACTGACTTTTAACAAAGCAATAAAGCTAAGCCTCTTTGGCCCATCTACCAGAATGAGGACACTGCGTTGTTAAGAAATCACTCAATTAAAATAATATTTGTCGAAATTGTACTTGACCTGTAATCAAGAGCGACATTTGACACCTTAGTGCAGCTTCTCAAATGTTACTTATTATGACTTGGAAGGGTAACAATAAACAAAAACAACACAACAAATAAATACAACAAGAGGCAAATCACACTTCCCTTTGGTTTCAGAATCTACAATGACTGCTTGAACATTTGCCTAGTTTAGGAATATGTCTTTGTCTCAGGATTTTAGGGGTGCAGAAAGGAATGAGAGTATATGGAGCCCACCTTTTCTGAACTAGCTTTCCCAGTAGCCTGGAAACAGAAGGATTTTCTTGCTTGGTAGAGAGTATTGAACCCTGTCCTTCTGTGTGTCCAGGCCAATGTCTGTCGAGAGCTTGACTCTCTGTGCTGGAACTAACCTTGTCCATCTTCCCATAGTTCAGTATTGTCTTCCTCAAAATAAAGGAAATTATCTCCAACTTCTTGAAACATGCAGAATTTTGAAATGGTTTTCTTTATAAAAACGATAATATCAGCATATTTTCTAAACTGCTTGTTAGAGGTATAGAGTTGTGCAGCTTAGATTTGGCTGTTGTGTCAGACCTCTGTGTTCCAGTCCTCCTGTGGAGTGGACCTGTGACATCAGAACACACAGAGGTGGGGACTGGAATATCTCAGAGTTTCCCCAGGGGCTCCAAAGGGCTGGAAGTGTGGGTCCCACCTCCTTCCATGAGGGGCAGAAGAAATGTGTTGAAAACCAGCGATGGACAGGTGATGCATCAGGCTCTCAAGTCTCATTTCTAGATTCCATCATCCACATCAATTTTTCATCTATTACTTTTACTCATTGTAGGCTTTTAATGAGATGTAGAGAAAAATACAAGCTGAAAAGAATCAACAACATTTTACTTCAAAAGATTAAAGACATAATTACCAGTGGTTGGTAGTACGTCTATGAGGAGCAGCGAAGGCATCGCTCATCTCGGGCTTTTGAGACGCGTGCCATTATCAAGCCTAACCGTGCAAACCAGAGATGCAGAGCTGACTTAAAAAGCTGCTGTTTTGTCCCAAGAAAATCCCTTAATACAGTATCTGTTTTTCATAGTAGTTTGGCTAAGCTTCTGACATTACCATGACTTGCTTGCCCATGTTTCTAAACCATACTGACTCAAGGAAAAGGAGTCTTTGGATAGAGATAACATGCAATTGAAAATCTGATGATATTTTGCATAGTCAGAAAGACTTTTCCTGCTTAGAAAATGTTTTCTGTATAACACAGATGTGTTTTTCAATGCCTTGGAATTTCCTCTTTAGAAAATATGTTGAGTCAACCGAATTTTTAAAGAAAATAATTATATCCTGAATTTAGCTCTGCTGAAAGAGCATGCAAAAGTTGCAATCATGTCCTTTGTAAATGTGTTTTAAAGTTTTCCCAGAGTTTATCACGTGAGGATGAAATGAAGGAGCTGGGGTCTCAGGGTTAATGTATACTTTGATTTGCAGAAGAATAAGAAAGTGTATACAGGTAAAAATAAAATACATATGTGCCAACATGTACATTATCACTAATCCTCAGAATTTAAAAACCTCTACTTTTTAATATTCAAAATCCTTATTGGTCCTTATTTGGAATATGTTTATCATTAAAAGATTCCTAGTAAAATAAAGATTGGAAGTGGGTAAATGTGTGAATATGGTAGAAAGGTCTCTTCATGTTTCCAGTTTCCAGGGAGGATTACAAACAAAGCCACTTTAAATGTTTTTTTCCAAAGTGACTATACCATTGGCATTTCTACCAGCAATAGAGGAGAGTTCTGTTTGGTCAGCATCTTTGCTGACACTTATGTAGCCAGTGCTTTTTTATTTTGATTATTCTAATAGAGGTGTAGTAGTATCTTATTGTGGTTTAATTTGAATTCCTGTAATAATTAAGAATATTCAGCATCTTTTCACGTTTATTTTCTATTCATATATCTTGGTGAAATGTCTTATCAAATATTTTGCCCAATTTTTATTGCTCTCTTTCTTCACTATTGAATTTTCAAAGTTTATTATATATTTTGAATGTTACTTATTGATTAAATATATGTTTTGCTAGTATTTTCTCATAGTGTTTGGCTTGTCTTTACATTTTCTTAACAGGGTCTTTCAAAAGGCAGGATTTCTTAATTTTGATTAATTATATTTGACCTTTTCTTTCAAGGACAGTGTTTTTATTCTTATATCTAAGAACTCTTTGCTGAACTTACGGTCATCAAGTTTACTTCTAGAAATTTTATATGTCAAAACCACAATGATATACCATCTCACGCCAGTCAGAATGGCGATTATTAAAAAGTCAAGAAACAATAGATGCCGGCAAGGCTGTGGAGGAATAGGAAGGCTTTTAAACTGTTGGTGGGAATGTAAATTAGTTTAACAATTTTGGAAAACAGTGTGGTGATTCCTCAAGGATCTAGAACCAGAATTATCATTTGACCCACCAATCCCATTCCTGGGTATATACCCAAAGGAATATAAATCATTCTACTATAAAGACACACGCACATGTATATTTACTGCAGCACTATTCACAATAGCAAAGACTTGGAACCAACCCGAATGCCCATCAGTGATAGACTGGATAAAGAAAATGTGGCACATATACACCATGGAATACTATTCAGCCACAAAAAGGAATGAGATCATGTCCTTTGTAGGGACATGGATAAACCTGGAAGCCATCATTCTCAGCAAACTAACACAGGAACAGAAAACCAAACACTGCATGTTCTCACTCATAAGTACGAGTCGAACAATGAGAACACATGGACACAGGGAGGGGAACAACACACACCAGGGCCTGTTGGGGGACGGGGAGCAAGGGGAGGAAACATACAGGACAAGTCAATAGGTACAGCAAACCACCATGGCACACGTGTACCTATGTAACAAACCTGCATGTTCTGCACATGTATCCTGGAACTTAAAGCAATTTTAAAAACAAACTTTATATGTTTTAATATTTAAGTCTATAATCTATTTTGAGTTAATTTTTCTATACAGTGCAAGATATGGGTCAAAGTGCAATTTTTATGCATACGAATATCCCAGCATCGATTACTACAAAGACTTTCCTTTCTCAATTGAATTGCCTTTGCAAAGCTTTGTAGAAAATCAATTGACAATATTTAGCAAGTCTATTTCTGGACTCTTTTCAGTTTCATTCATTCAGGTGTCTATCCTTCTGCTAATGCCACACTGACTTGACTACTGCAGCTTTACAGTGAGCCTTGAGCCAGGTAGCGTGAGCCCTCCAATTATGTTCTCCCTTTTTCAGTGTGGTTTGGGTTATTCTTTTGAATTTTTACTAAATTTTAGAAGCACTGTGTCAACTCTTATTTTAAAAATCACGTGTCATGTTGATTCAAATTGCATTAATTCTATAAATTAATTTGGGGAGAAATGACAATATCACTTGAGTCTTCCAGATCATGACTAGAGAACATCTTCATGTCTTTTTAGGTGGTCTTTAATCAATGTTTCTTTCATACTTTTTTTTAAATTTTTTGACATACAGGTCATTCACAGAGTTTGTTACATTTATACATCATAATTATTTTAGGTTTTTGGTGCTATTAAAATGGCAGTCTTGAAATTTCAATTTCAAATTGTTCATTGCTAGCACATTAACATGCAACTGATATTTATTTATTTATTTATTTATTTATTTATTAGAGATGGGGGGGTCTCACTCCATCACCTAGGCTGGAGTGCAGTGGCACAATCATAGCTCACTGCAGCCTCAAACATGGAGGCTCAAGCAATCCTCCCACCTCATAGCTGGGATCACAGGCACAAACTAACATGCCCAGCTAATTTTCTTTTTTCGTAGACACAGGGTCTTGCTATGTTGGGCAGGTTCATCTGAAACTCCTGGCTTCAAGGGATCCTCCTCCCTCCACCTCCCAAAGTGCTGGGATTACACATATTAGCCACCGCACCCGGCCTGATTTTTTTTTTCTTTTTTTTTTTTTTGAGACGGAGTCTCACTCCATCACCAGGCCGGAGTGCAGTGGCGCGATCTCGGCTCACTGCAACCTCCGCTTCCCAGGTTCAAGCAATTCTCCTGCCTCAGCCTCCTGAGTAGCTGAGATTACAGGCGCGTGCCACCATGCCCAGCTAATTTTTCTATTTTTAGTAGAGACGGGGTTTCACCATCTTGGTCAGGCTGGTCTCAATCTAGTGACCTCGTGATCCACCCACCTCGGCCTCCCAAAGTGCTGGGATTACAGGCATGAGCCACCATGCCCGGGCCCCGGCCTGGTTTTTAAACATTGTTTTGCTAATATCATGTTTCAGTTCTAGTAGCCTCCTATGGATTCATTTGTATTTTCTTACACAATTACACTATCTGTAAATAGAAACAGTTTTTTTTTGTTTTGTTTTGTTTTTTTTTTTTTTACAATCTATGTGCTTTCATTTCTTTTTTCTTGTTCCTTATTGAGCTACCTACAACGACCAATAAAAATAGTAACAGGGGACATCCTTTTCTTGTTCCTGATTTTAGAAAGAAAGCATTCAATCTTTTACTAATAAATGACTTCATTTGTAGGTATTTTGTGGGTTTTTTTTTTTAGTTGAGGACTTTTTATTGTATTGAATGAATAAACATTGAATTATTTCAGGGTTTTATTTGCATCTCAAAAGATGATCATATGCTTTTCCTTCTTTAGTCTGTTAATATGGTTTATTAGCATTGATTAATTTTTGAATATTAAACCACCCTTTCATTTTCAGAATAAACCACACATGGTGATGACGTGATGCCATTTTTACATGCTGCTGGTTTCGCTTTGCAAACATTTTTAGAATAATTCACATCCTTTCTCATCCAGTGCCATTGTCTTCTGCCTGAAATATTTGCAATGCCACATTAGTCATTTCCTCCAATCTTATCCCCACTTGAATCCACTTGAGTCCCGGCACCATCCATCCAAAGTAGAATATCAATCATCCCTCTTTCTTAGCTTTCTAAAGACCCCTTTCATCTCTAAGTGTATAAATTCCTCAGCATATTAAAAATGGATCTCTAGCAAAAGCCTGCAGCTTCATCTCTTCTTTTTCCTGAAATATTGTGGTCTACAAAAGCTACATTTCTTGTCTTTCTGTGACTCTACTGTATTGCTCACACTATTTCTTTTCCTGGATTTTTTTTATACCATATTTATTATGAAGACATATTTTCATCATTTTTTATGTCTCCACTCAGGCACCCTCTCATTCTCCAAGAAAAGGCTATTTTCCTCTTTTGTGTATACCATAATGGGCAGTTCAGATACCTATTATATATGGGTATATATTCACATGCAAATATGTGAAAGTGAAGTTACCTATCTAAAGGTTGCCTTCCTTATAAGTCTAAGCTCCTGGAGAGCAATTCAGGTGGTATTACATTTATTTCTTTATTTATTTTTATTATTATTATTTTTTGAGATGAAGTCTCATGCTGTTGCCCAGGTTGGAGTGCAGTGGCATGATCTTGGCTCACTGCAACCTCCACCTCCCAGGTTCAAGCGATTTTACTGCCTCAGCCTCCCGAGTAGATAGGATTACAGGCATGCACCACCATGCCTGGCTAATTTTTGTATTTTTAGTAGAGACGGGGTTTCGCTATGTTGGCCAGGCTAGTCTTGAACTCCTAACCTCAGGTGATCCACCTGCTTCTGCCTCCCAACATGGTATTATATTTATATCCCTTGCTTCTAGCCCAGTGCCTGGCTCCATAATAAGTACCCGATAATGTTTGTTGAACTATTCTGGGTTAAATAGCACTGACATGGGTGGATTCTTGAGGAAAGATGTCACCATGATTTGTGTCTCATTAGCCAGCGTCCCTACAACTTTGTGGAGCACTGGCTGGAGCGAAGAGTGACTAGAAGTGAGATAATCCTCTTCTGCAGTTCTGCGTTCACTGTCTGTAATGCCCTTTGGACTCACAGACTACATCAAACTTACAATGAATGCAGAGAGTTCTTTACTACAAATATATCTATCTAAGCACAGACACAGCAAGTTTTCAATTCCAAAAGGCTCATAGAACTGTTGGTTCCATCCCTTTCCCAATGTGTAAACAGGTTTTCCATTGTGAGTTACACAGAGGAATTATAGCAGTGTCCGGTAAGACCGGGTGATCCAGGAATGGAAGACGGGATGAACAGACAGATGAAGGAACCTGAGAAACGGAGGCTTGGGATAGACCCAGGGTATCTTCTTTCCACCTTTGTTGGAGATCCTTGGTTAGGAGACCGTAGGACAAAAACTGTCGGGCTGTTCTCTGTCGTCAGCGCTGGGGCTTGAGAGCAACATCATGGGATATTTACTGTTCCTTCGCAGATACCATTCACAAATGGCCAGAGTCTTAATGGTGTTGTTTGGAGTAGAGAATTAATAGGGGCAAAGCTCTAATAGCCTCGAGGAAGCTACGGTTTTCTGCTGAGAAGTGTGTAAGGGTTGCTGCAGGACAACTCTGCAGCGGAAGCAGACAACCCAGTTGTTAGTTCCTGAGGAGAGAGGCCTGTCCTCCCACCTCTCCTTAAGGAGCCATTTCTCTCTGCTTCTCTACTCGCTGATGACATCCAAGCTCTTCTTTGTGCCAAGTTTTCCCTCTTTCAATGAAGCCTCGCCCTCAGCAAATAAACACAGTCCAATGCCCGTTAACAAAAAGGCAACAAAGCAAAACTAAAACAACAAGGGCAAAAGAAATCTAAACCCAAAACACAAGAAAGTATCGTCACTCTGACCTCATCTGGCTTTCATCCAATCTCTCCATTCACAGCCAAATTCTGTAGAGAAGAGTGCAGGGCCTACACATCCTGCCTCCTCACTTTTCATTTACTCTCGAATCTTACGCGATGAATCTTGCGTTCATGTGGGTCACACTGAAGCCGCTTGTGTGAATGTCACCAATGAACTTGTCACTGCTTCACCTTCCCCTCCTTTAAGCAACTTTTCAGGCGAGTGTCTGAGATGCCACCATATAAAAATCGGAATGTCTTTAGCTTTGTTTTTTTAAAAAATGGGTAAAAATGAAAGACTCTATAAGGAAATTTTATTATCTCAGGCAAACTAGCCACACTTGGCAACAAGAGCTCCCAATATCTGGAGTCCCCAAGATTAATTCATCATCAGGGCCCACATCATCAAGGCGCTACTGCTGCCTTTTTCAATGTGGCCATGTTCAGATGTTATGCTGATTTGGGGGCTCGATCCACTCGAGCTTTCGTGGTGTGTGTGTGTGTGTGTGTGTGTGTGTGTGTGTGTTTGAGAGAAGGCATAGGAAGTTGGAAGGAAGAGAAAGAGGGAAGGAGGGAGGAAGAGTAATAGAGAGAAATAGAAACAGAGAGTGCTGTGTGCATGTGTGTGACATGTGACAGTGTGAGAGTACCTGTGTTTGGAAAGAGCAAAACCAGACACATCACTGTCCACCAAATGCAAGGAAATTGTTTCTTCCCCAGCTTTGAGAACCTGAAAAAATTTTCTAGGAATCCTTCGGCAGCCTCTTGTCCCAGCATAAATGATTCACAGCCTAAAAAGAAAAGACTCCCCTTAGCTTATGAGTTCCTAAGTAGAAAAAGTCCTATTTGGGCTTAGGAGCCATTCCCCCCTCTAAATGATTCAATCCAATAGGGAAGGGGACCACAGGACAGGCTTACGCTCATCAGGACTGTCCTGATTCACGAAGAAAGGGGTGGCCAGGTTCTGCCAGTGTGGATGGAGGAGCAATGCTTGTTGAGTGGACGACCAGTAATGCCTGCCAAACTCCTTCCACTGGGTTCTCCTTTCCTAGTTCTGCAGTACAAGCTTCATGGTCTCAGCTTCTGCCCATCCATCAGTGTCCTTGTTAATGGAGGTGTTCAGGACCCTCTCCCATCACTTCTTCCTCCCCACTCTCCACTCACAACTTTGGGCCTGTCCACCGCCTGAATGCGCTTGACCTGGACATCCATTTATCTAGGAGAGCTATCTCACTTGTGTTCAAATTGGTATTCTCTCCAATAGATAAGACAGAAAATCTGAACTAATCACACACACTTATACACACACAAATGCACTCACACTCAGACACACACATTCATACACAGACATGCACAGAAATACAGACACACACATACACACACACACCAACACATGCACAGACACACAGACACCCTCAGACACACAGAGACACACACAAACACACACAAACTCATGGACACACACACAATGACACAGATGCACAGACTCATTCCAAATCTTTCCTCTTGCCTTGCACTTTTATGATTAGTGAATTAAATCATAACCCACACCATTACCCAAGCCAGGAACCAGTGAATATTCCTGGCTGTTACTCCTCTCTTGAGCCCCACAGTTGCTGCAAGGAGTTGTGTCCTGCTGATGGCTCCCCTTCCACATGTCTCACCACCTTCTCCTCTCCTGCACACTCTGAGATTGTTTAGTGCAGGCCTGTACAATTGCACACAGGTGCTGCCTGTCACCCCAACAGCAGGCTTGTTCTCTCCATCTGCACCCAGAGAGAGGCTTTGCAGCTGGGGGTGCGAATGTGGCAGAATTTCCATCCTTTCCAACACACATTCATTTTATGGCCCAGAATGTGTTCTCTTCTCTCTTGGTGAATGTCCCAAATGCCTGTGAGCAGAATGTGTATTTGCTTCAATTGGGTGTGGTCACTAATGTCCCGGGCAGGGTAGAGTTGTCCAGCTCTTCTGTCTTTCCACAGATTGTCTAGGCACTGATTCTATCCATTACTGTGTTGAAATCTCTAGCTAGAATTGCAGACTTATTTCCCCTTTTCAGTTCTATCAGCTTTTGATTCCTGTATTTTGAAACTCCAATATGAAGCCCACACTCATTTAGGATTAATATGGAAGCCAGCCTTTAAATAAGAATTTTATCTTAAAATTAATATCACTCTGTCATCTTAAGAAGATGTGAGGCCTGTGAGAGCAGGTACTGTGTATTTTGTGTCTGTATTCTTTCTGTTTCACACTGCAACCATAATCGATGATGAATAAATAATGTTCCCTCTTGAAGATCTGGTCCCTGTCTCCAGGGCAGTGCTATGTAAAAAAAAAAGAGCAAATTCCTGCCTTCTAAACACTCCTCCACACCAACAAACACACTGTGCTAGGAAAGCAGCAGTGATGAAGGTGCTGGGCCTCCGGTGGAAAGGTAACACACATTTCCCATCCTCGGGAGCTTGCAGCACCGGCAGGCGGGCCGTTACACAGATAACACAGTATGCTTCTATGCCAGGGTGGACCCAGGAGTCCGTCCTCCCTGTCACTTACGAGACTGGAGTCCTGGAAAAGTTACTGAACTTCTCTGTGCCTTGGTTTATCCATCATGAAAGTCGGGTTAAAAAGAATACCCCACCCCTAGGGTGGAAGTGGGACTTGCTTGAATTGAAACAGTTGGTTTTTAAGTATTTTGCATAGCTGTTATTATTAAATTAACATCAAAAAAGTTGCCTGGTTATTTTAATATGGTCTTCACATAGGCAGTACAGCCGGCCAGATTTAGCATTTGCATTTATAACTGAGTCTCTCTTCTGCCTCCGTGAGACTTCCCAGGAGTTGCTTTGATGCTGCAGGGAGTCACACATCTCCAGATGCATCACTGGTGACTCAGCAAGCACCTGACCTGGTCCGTTACACATGGGGCTTATGTGCTTAACTCCTATGCGATGATGATTCTTCTCTAGTTCTTGGGGGTCGTTCCCTTTCTCCTACTGTACTGGCTGTTTAAAGTCAGCACTGTATGAGTTGCATACATAAGCCAAATGTCATTGACTTCTTCTTTTTTTTTTTTTTTTTGACAGTCTTACTCTGTTGCCCAGGCTGGAGTGCAGTGGTGTCATCTCGGTTCATTGTAACCTCTGCCTCCTGGGTTCAAGCAATTCTCGTGCTTCAGTCTCCAGAGTAGCTGGGATTACAGGCATGAGCCAACGTGCCCAGCTAATTTTTTTTTTTTTGTATTTTTAGTAGAGACAGGATTTTGCCACGTTGGCCAGGCTGGTCTCAAACTCCTGGTCTCAAGTGATCAACCCACCTTGGCCTCTCAAAGTGCTGGCATTACAGGCATGAGCCCTTGAGCCCAGCATAGATGTCATTGAAATTCAAGGGGGAAATCATTTGGAATGATCACAGCGACTGGTCCAGAGATGACTAACAGCTTAAAATGACCCCACCTGAAACAGCGGCGATCAGTGGAATGTCCAAGTATATATATATATATTTTTTTAATGAAGCTCTTTTGGACCAGAAACCCTAAGAATGTTTAGTCTGGAGTTCCATAATTATAAAAAAAATCTTCTGAAGTTAATCACCGTTTTTATCTGAAACCATACTCTAACTCAGTAACTCTTTCTCAGGGTTTACTTTCTCTTGAGCCACAAGCATCCATTTGTCCCCTACCAAAGGGACTAGACTTTCATGATGGATAAAAGGACACTAGTGCCAGGTAGCTTCTGCTTCTAAATTTTGGTTTAAAAAATGAAACATCTCCTTTTAGATATTCTAAAAAGTCATCTCCCCTAAAATCATGAAGCCTGGTTTATAAACTTTATAGAAGAAACTAGGTCTTTGAGGCTAACACATATTAGTGTATTAAAAAATACGGTAAACCAGCCGGGCACAGTGGCTCACGCCTGAAATCCCAGCACTTTGGGAGGCCAAGGCAGGTGGATCACTTGAGGTCAGGAGTTTGAGACAAGGCTGACCAACATGGTGAAACCCCGTCTCTACTAAAAATACAAAAATTAGCCAGGCTTGGTGGCATGCTCCTGTAATCCCAGCTACTCGGGAGGCTGAGGCACGAGAAAGGCTTAAACCGGGAGGCAGAGGTTGCAGTGAGCAGAGCTCCCATCACTACACTCCAGGTTGGTCAACAGAGCAGGACTCTGTCTCAGGAAAAAAAAAAAAAAAAAAGGTAAACAAACATTGCCTTAAACAAAAATTGTATCTTATAAGATTTTACAAGTTGCACATTATCAACACATTCTAGTTAAATGCTTAAAAATTACTTCACAATTAACCCTATGGATTTTTAAAAGAAGGAAAGCTTAGACACAAACTCAGGAGCCAGATTGTTTTCCAACCCTTGGGCCTGCCACTTACTAAGTGTACCAGCCTCCCTCGGAGTCACTCTATTCCTCGTGGAATCTGAATAGTAAGTGTACACTTGACAGAACATACGGAGTGGTAATGTGAAACAAAAATATAGAATATTTAAAGGACTTACCTAACAGTAAGAAAAAAAATAAGTTCACTTAAAAGTGTTTTTATTTTCTTATTTGCAAAACACCCCTTATTGTGGTAAGGTCTAACAATATACTATACATGTAAAAGTTTTACAGAAAATTACTGTAGCTTTCGATAATTTAATATATAACTGAAATACTTGAGATGGCATAATTCGATTTTATGTCAGTAATATCGAGTGAGACTAATCAAGATAGCAAGATTATGTTGCAAAATTAAAATGAGGAAATTGAGAGGATTTCTCAGGCTTCTGTGAGTCACTGCCTGGGCTGTATTAATAGTTTCATTGTGCTAGGTGCAGTGGCTCATGCCTGTAATCCCAGCACTTTGGGAGGCCAAGGCGGGCGAATCACCTGAGGTCAGGAGTTCAAGACCAGCCTGGCCAACGTGGTGAAACCCCGTTTCTACTAAAAATACAAAAATTAGCTGGGCATGGTGGCAGGCGCCTGTAATCCCAGCTACTCGGGAGGCTGAGGCAGAAGAATCGCTTGAACCCGGGAGGCGGAGGTTGCAGTGAGCCGAGATTGCACCATTGCACTCCAGCCTGGGTGACTATAACGAAACTTCGTCTCAAAAACAAAACAAAACAAAGCGAAAAAACAAAAAAAGTTTCATTGTTTCACCTCCACACAGCTCTGTCTGCATTTTGAGCAATGGCCACCAGAGGGCAGGAAGAACCAATCTATAAAGCACACAAGGGTTTCACCAACTTTGAAGTCCTCCGTTAGAAGGCAAGTTGTCCACTAATATGTAGGAACGATTAATGGCCACCAGAGGGCAGGAAGAACCAATCTATAAAGCGCACAAGGGTTTCACCAACTTTGAAGTCCTCCGTTAGAAGGCAAGTTGTCCACTAATATGTAGGAACGATTAATGGCCACCAGAGGGCAGGAAGAACCAATCTATAAAGCGCACAAGGGTTTCACCAACTTTGAAGTCCTCCGTTAGAAGGCAAGTTGTCCACTAATATGTAGGAACGATTAATGGCCACCAGAGGGCAGGAAGAACCAATCTATAAAGCGCACAAGGGTTTCACCAACTTTGAAGTCCTCCGTTAGAAGGCAAGTTGTCCACTAATATGTAGGAACGATTAATGGCCACCAGAGGGCAGGAAGAACCAATCTATAAAGCGCACAAGGGTTTCACCAACTTTGAAGTCCTCCGTTAGAAGGCAAGTTGTCCACTAATATGTAGGAACGATTAATGGCCACCAGAGGGCAGGAAGAACCAATCTATAAAGCGCACAAGGGTTTCACCAACTTTGAAGTCCTAACTTAGAAGGCAAGTTGTCCACTAACATGTAGGAACTATTTTTAATTATACCATTATTTTCCCTCAATTTTATTTATAAATTAATGAATTCACAAAATATTTCCAAAGCTCAAGTGAAGTACATCCTAATCAACTTGATTTACAATTTGTGATTTTTCTCTGAATCAATCTATAAATAATCAATAAGAAGATAATTATTTAGAAAATGAGGCTCCGAAAAATATGTTGGCTTTACATTTTTTGCCTGTGCAAGTAAATATAAAAATGTCTTTTCTCACATTTCTTCCATTTATAAACCGTTTTTAAAAATCATAAATTAAGACATGTGTGTTTTAAAAGTCTCACAACATGCAGCATTTTAAAAATTGTCTTATGCTTTACTGCTCCCTCCCGTAGGTAATCACTGTTACATTTCTCATTTACTGCAAAATTCTCTGTGCATATGGAGCACATAGATGGATAGATAGATGGGGTGTGTGTGTGTATATGAATGTGTATGTGTCTTTGGGGTGAGTGTGTCTATGTGGGTGTATGTATGTGTGTCTATTTGTGTTTATTTGTGTCTCTGTGTATGTGTATGCATATT
This sequence comes from Homo sapiens, assembly GCF_000001405.40. NCBI lineage: Eukaryota > Metazoa > Chordata > Mammalia > Primates > Hominidae > Homo > Homo sapiens. The sequence continues at coordinate 4,816,642 of NC_000010.11, forward strand.
ACATATGTGTATGCACGTGTGTGTATACAGTATATGTGTGTGTGTCTGTGTACTTGTGTCTGTGTATTTGTGTGTCTGTGAGTACATCTTTGTGTGTATGTCTATGTGCCCATGTCTGTGTATTTGTATGTATGTATGTGTGTATTTACATATGTGTATGTTTGTATATGTATGCATATGTGTATATGTGTGTGTATGTATATACAGTATATTAAGTGTTTGAATGTATGTATCATATTTATCAAATTCCACGTTGTATTAATTGTTCTCACACTGCTATAAATGACTACCTGACACTGGGTCATTTATGAAGAAAAGAGGTTTAATTGACTCACAGTTCTGCATGGGTGGGGAGGCCTCAGGAAACTTACAACCTTGGCAGAAGGCAAAGGGGAAGCCAGCACATCTTAACATGGCCGATCAGGAGAGAGAGAGAGGGAAGCGGGTACTGTCACACACTTTTAAACCATCAGATCTCATGAGAACTCACTATCACGAGAACAGCAAGGGGGAATCTGCCCCCATGATGCAATCACCTTCCACCTGGTCCCTCCCCCAACACTGGGAATTACAAGTCAACATGAGATTTGGGTGGGGACATAAAGCCAAACCATATCACACGTCTTGCTTTTTCACTGAATGTGGGACCTTGGACACTTTCCCTATCAGCATGTGTGGCTGCACCACATGGATTTCAGTAGTGGCAGAATATTCCCTTCTATAGATTCCACAATTCATCCAATCAGTCTTTATTCTTCCAATTTAAGGCAAAACAAATTCCAATGTAAAAGCTTAAGGCCAGGCGCAGTGGCTTACACCTGTAATCCCAACACTTCGGGAGGCCAAGGTGGGCGGATCACGAGGTCAGGAGATCGAGACCATCCTGGCTAACATGGTGAAACTCCATCTCTACTAAAAATACAAAAAATTAGCTGGGCGTGGTGGCAGGCGCCTGTAGTCCCGGCTACTGGGGAGGCTGAGGCAGGAGAAAGGCGTGAACCCGGCAAGCAGAGCTTGCAGTGAGCCAAGATTGTGCCACTGCACTCCAGCCTGGGCGACAGAGCAAGAGTCCGTCTCAAACAAAACAAAACAAAACAAAAAAACAACTTAAATTAATATTAAAAATAGTTGTTGTTTCCTTCCAGTGGACTTAATTCCAACCAGGCTGGTGAAGAAGCCAGTTGGATAGCCAGTCCCTGCTGAAGGTGGATGGCCCCTGCTCTTGTCTCCCGGTTATCAGGCTCTCGCTGCTTTTGGGCCAGAGGAACAGGGCGTCCTCCTTGAGGCTGCGAGTCGTCCCTCTGAGTGCCTCTCACCAAGGGATGAAGCAGCAGCCATTTGGCCAGAGAGCAGTCACTCACCCATCCTTGGGTCCAGGAGAGGCATTGCAGGCTTTACCCTCAGATCTTTCTTTCCAAAGCTCCTTCTCTTCACCCTGTATCCAGGGCACTTGGCCTGAAGAGCCTTTGTCTTCTGGAAGCTTCTGCTGCCTTCCCTGCCCAGATCCCTCAGACAAGGAGCTGTAAGGCCCAACTCCAGGAGGAAATAAAGGAAGAGGGAAGAAGGAGAAGCAGAGAGAGGAGAGATGCATAAATTAATACCTCCAGAAGCAGCCTTGCTACAGACACATCATTTGTTCCTATTTTTTTCTCTGTGTCACACAGTGCTATAATGCAGAGGAACTGCTGCTTCGAAGGGTACGTGCCTGCACAGTCTGAGATTGGCAAGTTGCTATCCCCTGTGTGTCCCCATCGAGGGGGACAAGACCCTTTCCTTCCACATTCTCATGTGTACACGACGGGGCTTTAACATTTACTCATATATATACCATCTTCTTGTCATCTAGAGTTTCAATTCTTTCATTATAAAGAATGTGGTAATTGTTCATTTGTTTACATCTTTATCATTTATATTATTCTCCTAAATTCTTGCCCAAGACATTTGAAGCACCCTAAAACAAGAAGGCATATCTGGGTAGTTCAAACTAAGATTTTATGAAAAGATGCAAATCATTTACAGAAAGGACAAATATATTCTAGACATCTGAGATTGAATTGTTGTAAATTTGACTATGAGCTATAAAAGCTGACATATAATATCAACAATATTATTATCTAATATTATCTAATATTAGATATCATCCCATAAATGAATGCTTTCATATTATTCTAAACAAAAAATTTAGAATAAAAACCTACAGGAAATTATCTTATAGTTCTAAAATATGGGCTACCTTTCCAACTTAAAAAAAAAAAGCACAGTGGTAGTAAAGAGAAGTAGAGAGGAAATGGGGAGTTTTCCATACTGAAGAATATCTGCAATGAAGACCTGGGTACATTTTTTTAAATTACAAAACTAAAAAAATAAAGGCATCTAATATATAATTCAGTGTGGGAAAATAAAAACAAATTGCTAGTTTAACTTACCAATACTGTGAGCAATTTAAAATTGTTAGATTCCACCAAATAATTGTTAAATGAGATAAGCCAGGTAAATGTCCTAGCACAATACCTGAAGTACGGTATTCTCAATAAATTTCAGTTATTGTCATTTCAGTAGTTACAATTATTTTCAAAAGTTGTTTAATCTTTTTTTCTTTCAATCCATGTTAATTCTAACTGACTCAGCTTAAAAGGAAACTACTTCAAGATTGAATTTGAACTAGAAATGGGATCCCCTTGTAGTGATGTTTGAGAGAGCAGGGATTACTCTCCTTAAGGCTTCTATTTAACTAAAATTTTATTGGAACTGGATAACATGTGGAGGTCGGTCATAATCAATCACTGATAGACATAAATCTGCAAAGAATTCACTTGAGGGGGAGATGAGTGTCTTCCACCCCATTCAAGGTTGCCATTTTCCACAAAGTTCAGGCAGTGGAGTGAAATGCCACAATAATACTCTATTAAATCAACACATTGGTAATGTGATGGCAACACCTGTAGCCATTTCAGATACAGGCAGAAGCTCGCAGTTATTAAAGCCACATGGAGAGGGTACAGCAGGAAATGAAGAAAGAGGGAAGAAGGAGAAGCAGAGAGAGGAGAGATGCATAATTTAATACCTCCAGAAGCAACCTTGCTACAGACCATCGTCTGTTTCTATTTTTTTTCTCTGTGTCACACAGTGCTATAATGCAGAGGAACCACTGCTTTGAAGGGTATATGCCTGCACAGTCTGAGATTGACAAGTCGCTGTCCCCCGTGTGTCCCCATCGATGAGAACCACATTTATGGTTCTTGTGGTTGCTTGGACAGTCTTTATTTTCATCATGAGACAAAGATAAGGCAGACATTTCTGGTGAAAGTCTAACAGTTAAGTTGTGGTAAAAGATAGGATAGTTGGCGTTGGGCAACTTCAGTGAAAAAGAGCTCCTTATAATATCATAATCTTGTCCTCAGAAACTCGTGGACTATTATTTGTGGCTGCCTTTTCATCCTTTACTTTAGCAACTTACCGGTTGCTTTCTGTGTATGTGGGGCCAGTTTATGTGAGATTTGAAGAAGGGATTTTCCTTTATTGGGAATGTCTAATGAGCACTTACAAGCAGAATTTCCTCCCGATTTTTTTCCTCTGCACTCTGAATACTGGAAAGTGTTTTGAGGGCCTTCTGACAGTACACCACAGTGATTTTTTTTTCTGTCGTAATCCATTTATGACTAAAAAACATGATGCTTTTTGTTTTTGAGATAGAGTCTCGCTCTGTCACCCAGGGCAGAGTGCAGTGGCACAGTCTTGGCTCACTGCAACCTCTGCCTCCCAGGTTCAAGCGATTCTCCTGCCTCAGCCTCCTGAGTAGCTGAGATTACAGGCATGCGCCACCACGCCTGGCTAATTTTTGTATTTTTAGTAGAGACAAGGTTTCACCATGTTGGTTAGGCTGGTCTCGAACTCCTGACCTTGTGATCCACCCGCCTCAGCCTTCCAAAGTGCTGGGATTACAGGCATGAGCCAACGCATCTGGCCACATGATGCTTTTTTTTTGGTTGCTCACATGACAAGCTATTATTTTTGTGTCACTTTAAACAGAACTTAAGGTATAGACTTCATGCATTCCTTCTTGAGCCCTCTTCCATTACAGCAGTTAAATTTTGTCCAGATTCTGTAAACTAGTATTGCTGCCTGAGTGGCCGTGGTATTTCCTTTGAGCTGAACTTGGCCATTTTAGCTTCTTATTAGACAAAACAGTATACTTGGAGTCCTGGTGAATAACCAGACAAATGGAATTTCTTGTCCACAAAGCTCTAGCACAGTGGTTCGGCGCAGAGGCCCATGCTTCCCTACTTGATCTTGTCGTCACTGGCTCAGCCAAATGCTATTTCTCAAAGTTCATAAATCTCACATCCTCTTTGTGGAGTCTTTCCCCTTTTTGTACATGTATAATCCCCGGCCTCTAAGTAGTCTATTCACTTCTAAAGCTGTTGACTTGGCAAGATAACAACTGCATCATTCACACAAGCAAATCTGCTCTTGGAGGACAAAAAGAGGTTTATTTTGGCTTAGATGACTCCGATTGGCCATCTCCATTGAAACCTTGGCAGAAGATAGGTCCCTTGGCTACTGGGGAGAAAAGTCAAGTAAACCTTTAGTGCCAGGAATGGTGTTTGTAAAGATTCGGCATGAAGTGGTACATTTCGTCCTTGGGCTTCTTACTGGCTTCAACCCAAACAGAATCACTTAGTGCTGTTCCCCGGGTTAATGATGTTATTAGAACAATTGACTCAAAGCAAGAACTGAAAGGCTGAGTGCTTTGTTGTGAGGTGTGCAAAAATTCAAGTCTATCAAAACAGGCTTAGCAGAGCTGCCACCAGCAGGACAGCGTTTAGCTTTTGTTTGCTGCTTCTTTGATTCTTCATGGGCAGCTGGCATTTCTGTTGCTGGTTTCTACTCTCTCATCCCTAGTGGACCCTACGTTTTCTCCCCTGAGTGTGCTTATCTGTCCAGCTGCAAAAAAAAAAAACAAAAGGTGTGCTGTTGTTTCTGCACTTCTCCCTGTCCTCATCTCTCAACATCATATGTGTGCAGAGAAATCACACTTGTTGCTCTGTTGTCTCAAAAGGTCTAGCCCTGAGTTTGCTGAGGTGATGATGAAGGTTGTGTGAAGCTGTGTCAAACACTGAGAAACATACACACAGGCTGTAGCAGATGTGTGTTATTCCCTCAATGCATGCACCAGTGATGGGGATTTAGAATGAGCCACTGTGCAAAGATGCCCCAGAGAGACTATTCCCTATACATTATTATTCAGTGTAAGATACCCAATAAAGCAACTAGATAAAGAAATGCCTATATCTAAACCTAAAATATTCACTCACTCCCAGCGTTAACTTCCCTCATCCTTAAGAACAGGCTATCCATGGAGCTACCAAAATGCACTTTTAAAAAGTGTGTTCATGCTGCACTTCATATTCATGCTCCCTTTTCCCTTGACAATGTGTTATATGTTGAGAATCTTTAAATAAAACTGCTCAACCACCAAAAAATTATTTCTCCCCATTTCTATTCATCAGTACTTCTTATCTTGAAGGCTGATTTCAATAATCATTTATCCCTCACAACTTCATACAATTTCTTCCTTTTAGAGTCCCACTGAATATCATTTATATTTATCCCACGCTATTTTTTTATTCTAGTTTATATTATTACTTGTGAACTTTCCTAATCTCGTCTCCCAAACACACAAACCCTTTAGCTACTTCCATGGGAGGCTATCTTATCTATTACTCTCCACACCCCCAGCCACGGGATATGCAGGAGACACTAATGGATCTAGTATATCACACAGGAAGCAGATCACCAGGACGACAATTACAATCAGCAAATCCCAGTATCCACTAAAGACAGTGACAAGGGTAAAAAGACAATAGCTGAGAGCGAGGTAATAAGTGTTCATGAAGAATTTCTTAAGCCTCAGCATCTTAGCAGCTATAGCAGAATGCCATAACAAAGACAAAAGTATTTTGAGTGTGAAGTTATACCATGACATACAAATGCATCTGTCAATGAGGCCGTTAGAAATCTTCCAGACCAAAGGTCCCAAACACCCACCATAACCTTCTGATTCAATAGGGCACATATGGGGAAACTGTACTGTTAAAAAGCACTTCTACCAAGAAAAGGCAAAAAATGTCCCCTCACCACTCCTTCTCAACACTGTACTGGACATCCTAACTAATATAATAAGACAAAAAAGGAACTAAAAGGTATACAGGCTGGGTGCAGTGGCTCACGCCTGTAATCCCAGCACTTTGGGAGGCCAAGGAGGGTGGATCATGAGGTCAGGAGTTTGAGACCACCCTGACCAACAAGATGAAACCCCATCTCTACTAAAAACATAAAAATTAGCCAGGCATAGTGATGCATGCCTGTAATCCCAGCTACTCATGAGGCTGAGGCAGGAGAATCGCTAGAACCCAGGAGGCAGAGGTTGCTGTGAGCCGAGATCCCGCCACTGCACTCCAGCCTGGGTGACAGAGTGAGACTCTGTCTAAAAAAAAAAAAAAAAAAAAAAAAAAAGATATACAGTTTGGGAAGAAAAAAATTAAACTGTCTTTGTTCACAGGTGACATTATTTGCTATCTTAATTTAATTTCCAAAGAATTGATGAAAAGCTTCTGAAACTACTAAGCAATTATAGCAAGGTTGCAGAAGACAAGATTAATATACAAAAATCAACTATTTTCCTATATACCAGAATTCAACAAGTGGTATTTGAAATTAAAAGCACAGTACCATTTACATTAGCACCCCCGAAAATGAAATACTTATGTATAAATCTAACAAAATACATATGAGTCCTATATAGGAAAACTACAAAACTCTGATGAAAGATGTAAAAATAAATAAATAAATCGAGTGATATTCCATGTTCATGAATACAAGGACTCAATATTGTCAAGACATCAGCTCTCCCCAAACTGATCTAAACATTCAGTGTAATCTCATCAAAATCTTACTAAATTATTTTGTGGATAAACTGAATCCATAGTTCATATGAAGAAGCAAAAGACACAGAATAGATAACTCAATATTGAAGGAAAAGAACAAAGTTAGAGGACTCACACTACCTGACCTCAAGACTTACAATAAATCTACTGCAGTAATCAAGACAGTGTGGTATTTATGAAACAGGCAAATGGATCAATGGAACAAAATAGCACAGAAATAGATCACCACAAATATAATAAGCTGATGTTTGACAAAGGAGCAAAGGCAATACACTGGAGAACTTTCAGTCTTTTCAACAAATGATGTTGGACATCCACATGCAAAAAAATAAATCCAGACACAGATCTCACACTCTTCATTAAAATTAACTCAAAGTGGATCGAAGGCCTAAATGTAAAACACAACACTATGAAACTTCTAGAAAATAAGAGAAAATCTAGATGATCTTGGGTTTAGTGATTTTTTTTATTTTTATTTTTTATATTGATTACTGTGTTCCAGGATATTCTAATTTACTAATTTTTATTTTAATTTTTTTCTGTCTAGTCTCTGATTTTTTAATTTTAATTTTTATTTCAATTGTTTTGGGGCGACAAGTAGTGTTTGGTTGCATGGAAAAGTTATTTAGTGGTGATTTCTGATATTCTGGTGCACCCATCACCAGAGTAGTGTACATTGTGCCCAATGTGTAGTCTTTTATCTCTCACTCCCCTCCCAGCCTTCCCCCTGAGTCCCCGAAGTCCATTATATAATTCTTATGTCTTTGCAATGACTTTTAAAATACAACATCAAAGGGATGAGCCATGAAAGAAATAATTGATAAGCTCACTTCGTTAAAATAAAAATTTTTTTATTTTGCTAAAGACAATGTCAAGGAAATGAAAAGACAAGTTACAGACAGACTGGGAGAAAATATTTACAAAGACACATCTAATAAAGGACTCTTATCCAAAATACACAAAGAACTCTTAAAATCCAACAATAAGAAAATGAATGACCCAAATAAAAAATGGGCAAAAGACCTGAAAACACACCTTATCAAAGATATACAGATAGCAAAGAAGCAGAGTAAAAGATGCTCAACGTCATAGACTTATGGAATTTCTGTTAAAACAATGAAATAGCATGATACACGATTGCAGTGCAGTAGAGCTTCCCCCAGGAATACTGTTCCCAGACTTGTGCAGGGCTGGTTCCCTCACTCTTTGCCTTTCTGTTTGCAGCATAAATGCCACTTCATTGAGGTGTTGAGGATTCCCTCACTCTGTCCCTTCCGCCTCTCACCACAAGCACCTGCTTTATTTTACTATAGCACCTGCTCTTTTTTTTTCTCATGCATTTGCTTTTATGCTCTGTCCATTCATTCCTACAGATGGTGAGCTCCTGAGGGCAAGGCCCATGCAGGTCATTTTCAGCACTGCACCCTGGCCTAACTTGCCCCGTGCACAGGTGAGTGCTCCAGGCACAGTTTCTGAATGAATAAATGAGAGTATCGAAGATCCCCCTTCCCACCTGTGAGGAGCTCACATTGAGGAGATGGATGCTCACAGGAGATGCAAGTTGGGTGGGAGGCAGGGGGACACCCAGAGTGACCCTGGGAGTTTCTCTGGCTGCAGCCGCCCCATTGAGCAGAATGGGCAGCGCCTCCCCTGATGGCCAGCACTGAAGACCCAGGCAAGGAACCTAGAAACAAAGCCCTCATCTGGGTGTGGGTGTCCTCAAGGCAGTAGGACTCCCAGGGCTGAGGGGGGCAATGAAGGGGGAGCTGTAAGCTCCAGGAGAGATAAGAGGGGCGTCGGAAGGCTCCCTTGACCCCTCTTTCCCTCCACTGGCCCTGGGGGAGCCCAGTCCACTCATAAGGGGGGTGTCCAGTCCACCCCATCCACTTCCAAACGGGGGCCCGAGGCTGCAAGCAAGGACGCTCCCCTCTACATGCAGGGCTCGGCCTCCCCTGCACCACCCAGGACCCCCGCTGTCCTGCAAGCCCCAGCCGCTCTGGGCCAGGACCCAGGGAGTGGAAGGCATTTTCCAAGGGCACAGTGGCTCCCTGACGGGGAACCAAGGCCAGGCACGCTTCTCCCAGACTGGGGGCCTCGGGGCACCTGAGAATGGCCATCCTTGGTACAAGAGAGCGGGGACCCACTCCCGCGCACCCTGTGCCCCAGGGGACGCAGGACTCTGCACCCTGACCCTAGAGCTTGCCCTAGGATGGCCCGGCCATGGCGAGGCCCTGGAACGGTGAAGACTCTCTGCCCATCAACCTAGCACCTCTGCCCTACCCTCAGTCGCATATGCACCCGGTGCGAGGGAGAAGGCAACCAGGAGGTCACACCTAAGGTGGGGGCGTGAGCGGCAATGCCAGCCGATTGTAAAACCTTCCCTGCTCCTGCGTGGCTCTGCAAGCCAATCGAAAATTCCGTCGTCTATGCCGCCAGCCAATCAGGATGTCCAGAGCGCGGTGCTTCCAGCCATTTGGGACTCCAGCTGGCTCTGCGCCTCCAGCCAATCGGGGTGCCCGTCCTTAATACAACCAGCCAGTCAGTGCCCGGCGCGCGACACCAGCAGCCAGTCAGGAAGCCCTGCGTTCATGCTTCCAGCCATTGTCGGAGTGTCAGCCGTCACAAGGCACTTCCAGCCAGTCGCAACGGCGGGTCGCCAGCGCCGCAGTAGCTCGCGCGGTGCCTGTCGGTAGTCGCGTGCGGGGCGGCGGGGCGGCGGGGCGGCCGGCGGCGGCCATGGGAGATATCCCAGCCGTGGGCCTCAGCTCCTGGAAGGTGACGCGGTCGCGGGCAGGGAGGCGCGCCTGACCTAGGGGAGCGCGGGACTTGGGGGCGCCCGATGGGACCCAGGCCGGGGCTGGGGAGAAGTGCGGCGGCCTCCCCTCCGCCTGGCCGACGCCCGGGAAAGGCGCTGCTGAGGTGGCCGCCCACCGCCCACAAGCAGCCCGGCCCGGCCTTTCCTAAAACGGAGTCGGTGCTGCCCGCCGAGGCGCTCTCTGGGAGAAGCGGGAACCTCGGCAGCCAAGCCTCAGACTCTGGGGCTGCGGCCGCGGCGTTGGGCGGGGCTGCTCTGTGGAGAGGCGGAGCCCTTGAAGTTACTCAGAACTGGAGCGGGGATGCCGAGGGGAGGCCTTGGCGGCGCTGGACTCGGCCGGAACAGGGAACCTCGAAGCCTCCTCTCCAGCAAAGAGAGAAAGAAAAGTTGGGGCCGGGCGTGGGGTGCGGGCTTGTAATCCCAGCACTTTGGGAGGCCGAGGCAGTAGGATCGCCTGAGCTCAGGAGTTCAAGACCAGCCAGGTCAACATGGCGAAACCCTGTTTCTACAAAAAATGAACAAATCAGCTGGGCTTGGGGGTGCGCGCCTGTGGTCCCAGCTACTCAGGAGGCTGAGGTGGGAGGATCACTGGAGACCAGGAAGTCGATGCTGCAGTGAGCTTTGATGGCGCCACTGCACTCCAGCCTTGGGGACAGAGCCAGACCTTGCTGGAAAAAAAAAAAAAAAAAAGAAAAAAGGAAAATTGGAATTGCTGATTAGGCTTTAAAAGAAACTTTGGGATCTCATGTTGTTCCCTGTTTAGAAGCAACCTGCCCTGATGCCTGAGACATATAATCGCTCTGTGCATTTATGGGGTGCAGCGTAATGTTTTGAGCCGTGTATACAATTGCAATGTGGTTAAATCAAGCTAATTAACATATCTATCACCTCTCTCAGTTATTATTGTTTGTGGTAAGATGTTTGAAATGTCTTGTTATTTTGAAATACACATGTGTAGTAAATTATTGTTGACTGTTGGCATCCTAGTGCGCAGTAAGTCTTAAAAGCTGTGTCTCCTGTGTGTTTGAAACTTTGTACCCTTTGATCAGCAACTCCCCATTCCCTCCTTCCTCACCTCCCCCAGCCCCCAGCGTCTTATAACCACCATTCTATTCTACGACCTTTCTCTGCTTTGAACTTCACAATTCCTGCCAGTGATTTGAGACAGCACTGACTAAAAAGCGTTTAAAATTTGATCTTTAAAAAAAAAAAGCTAAACTTAGTTGTTGATAAAAGCTATAAGAAGTCATATAGGAAGTTAGTTACTGAAGGAGTCAGAATGTTCAAGGCCTGCTCATGAAAATATTATTTAAATTATTTCTCTTACCTGCTTACCAACTCTTAGAGGCTAGGAGTGTCGTTTTGTTCATATTGGTTCTCAGCATCTAGTGAAGGACGTGCATCTGTCAGCCCTTCATTCAGTAAGCACTCGATGGATTAAACTGTTGAGTCTCTTGCTTCCCTTTATTTCTGCAACAATTTGGTGCAGGAGTCCAGACTTTCGTGCACACAGGATAAGGAAAAATTAGTGAAAACTGTGCTTAACAGGTCAAAATATTCTATTTATTTTTCTTGGACTGCAGGTGCATCAAATTGGATTAATCATAATCACTCATCACTGGTCTATGCAAAGGCTTATTTTTACTCGTCTATTTTTAATAGTGAATAAACATCACAGACCTATCCGTTATCTGTTGCCCCAGAAATGCTGCATCAATGGCCAAACACCAGACCTCAGTGGTGTACAGCAGCAAGTGTATTCCTCCCACACGGGAGGTCAGGAGAGCAGCTCTGTGGACCTTGGCTGGGCTCAGTTGGGATGGTTGGGGCTACTCCACTTGGCTCCGCACATCTCCTGTCCTCGTGCGGTTAGTTAGGGAGTGTTCTCAAGATGATGGCTGAAGCACAAGAGAGCAAGGGGAGCGGTGAGATGTCTGGAGACCTCAGCCTGGGCTCTTCATTATTAGGGGCCACTTGATCCATCTGTGTGCCTGATCGGTGCTGTCTTAATTACTACAGTTCCTTGATAAGCGCCCATACCTAGTAGGGCAGGTCACCTCTCCCTGCTGTTGTAGATTTACAGTGTACAATTTGATGAGTTTTGACAGATGCATGTACCTGGGTCCTGGCTTTTTATTTTGGCACCTTACTCTCCACTGTAAGTTTTAGAACTAGCTTAGAAGGTTCCATGAGAAACTTTATTGGGGTTTTGATTGGAACTACATTAAATCTGTAGACCAGCTTGGAGATAATTGACACCTTTGTAATGTTAAATCTTAACTTTTCTACAAGCATGGTATTCTTCTCTGTTAATAAATTGTCCTGAATATGGTTCATTTCTAACATCTTTTCATATGGTTGTATAGTTTTTCCTGAAGAGAATATATGTCTTTTGTTGGAATTATTATTGGGTTCTTGATAGTGTGTTATACTACTGGAAATTATATTTCTCTGAAGTTACATTTTCTACTTGTTTCACCTGCTATATTCATTACACTTCCAGCCACTTTACTAAACTGTACTGTTATTTCTGTTAATTTGTGTTACATTTGTTTGGATTTTCTACACAAATGATCATATCATCAGCAAATAATGGTAGTTTACTTTCCTTTTTTTCCACTCTTTAAGCTTAAAATTGCTTCTTCTTAGTTGTTCAGGTGCTTCTGGAAAGCACCTCCAGCACAGTGGCCATTCTTGTTTTGTACCTGATTTTAAAGGATGTAAGATGGATATTTTTTAATATTGATACTCTTTATCAGATTAATTCTTTTCCCCGACTTACTGGGAGTTTAGATTTTGAATCTAAACTGGTATTGAATCTTAACAAATATTGATTGAGTTGACTTTTGTTTTTGTACTTTAATCTGTTAATATTGATGAATTACAGATTTTCTAATATCAAACCATCCTTAGATATCTGAGATACACTCAACATGGGTGTGGTATATTATCTTTTCATAAATATTGTTGCATCCAATTTGCTTTTATTTTACTTATGAATTTTGCAACGGTATTCATGAATAAGATGAATGTGTGACTTTTAATATTTTTGTCTGATTTTGATTCAGGGTTATGCTAGTTTTGTAGAATGAGTTGAGATAAGTCCGTCTTTTTCTGTTGTTTGAAAGTCTGTGTTAAACTGAGATGATTTTTTTCTTGAAAATTTTATGAAACTGGTGGTTTTCTCTTTTTTTTGAATTCCTTGCATTCTTTAATAATTATGTAACTATTCAAGCTTTATTCTTGGGTTAAATTTTTCTAGGAATTTTCCCATTTTATCTCATTTTTCCAAGTTATTGACATATAGTTATTGGTAATATTTTCTTTTAAGTCCATTTTATCTGCATGTTTTACTGTCCATTCGTGTCAGTTTTTTAAAAAGTTGGCCTCTTCATCAACCTAGCCAGAAGTCTGTTTATTTTACTGAAGTTTTTCAAAGAACTGACTTCTGGTTTTGTTGATCTTCTCTGTTACATCTTTGTTTTCTATTTTATTGATGTTATTCTTAATCATATTTTTATCTTTCCATCCAATTTCTTGGGTTCTTTTTCTAACTTAAGATGGATACTTGGTTCATTAGCTTTCAACCACTCTGAATCTGTTGCCTATAAAATGAAGATAATTATGCTGCTCTAACTCCTAGGGTTACCGTGAAGCTCCAGTGAGAAAGTGGTTTGTGAACTATAAAGCCCTTGTCAGTCTTCAGTTTAATGAGACTGCAAACCCGCCCACCCCCATAGTCTTCCCTAGTTCTAGTCCCTTCCCTTGCCTGAGCTTCATTTAGAGTGACTGTTCTCTTTTCTGAACTACCTTATTGCTTGTAGCATTATACATTCATTTAGGTTTTGTTATATACTTCTTTTTGTATGGATACCTTCGTGTGAGTCTACACCTCAGCCTTTATTATTGGACGCTGTGGTATCTGAGTATACAGGATAAATCTTAAGCCTCTTTGCATCTCAGTTATTATTCATTCTGTACTTTTTTATTGCTTTGATCATTCAGGAAGCATACCATCTAGCTCAGTTTTCTGCAGACACTAAAAATAACCTATAGTTTTTTTTTCCCAAAATATGTAAAGGAGTTGGAACTTAGATTATTCATAAATTCCTTCATAACTGATATTGCCTGTTTTTAGACTGATTATACTAGTACCAAATTAGTGACTTAATTTTTTATGTATTATGTTGTCCACATGCTTGGGTGAAAGGGGAGATTTGTGTTGGATTCCTCTGACTGTGAGAAGACACTTTGTTTTGTTGGTTTTGCAGGCTTCTCCAGGGAAAGTGACCGAGGCAGTGAAAGAGGCCATTGACGCAGGGTACCGGCACTTCGACTGTGCTTACTTTTACCACAATGAGAGGGAGGTTGGAGCAGGGATCCGTTGCAAGATCAAGGAAGGCGCTGTAAGACGGGAGGATCTGTTCATTGCCACTAAGGTAGGGCTTCTCTATGCAAGGCTGGCAGAGCTTGGGTAATGCTACATCTCTGGAGGGCTTTCTACTTTCTTTATGGGAGTTGATGACTTTGTTTCATACTCAAATCGGAATAAACAAGAATATTCACAGCTTCATGAGCATGCTGAATTATATTGTGTGCAGGTTTGTTTCATATTATTTACTTGGTCATTCAGGTAGGAGTACACAGATATCCCCCAATTAACAATACATTATCAAAATTCAGTTAGTGATGGGCACTTTGACTACAGTGGTGAATAGGACAAAGTCCTAGCCCTCATGAAGTCTGTTTACACAGCGATTCCTAAATTCAGAATCACTGGGGTGATTGTTAAATGCAGATTCCAAATTCTACCCCACATCTGTTGAAGGAGAAACTCTGGGTGTGGAGGAAGCAGCTTGAGCACAGGCATAAGGCAGGAAGCAGCACGGCAGGTGCAGGGGTTTGTAGGAAGCTTGGTGTATTAGTCTGTTCTCATGCTGCTGTACGAACATACCTGAGACTGGGTAGTTTATAAAGAAAAAGAGGTTTAATTGACTCACAGTTTCACATAGCTGGGGAGGCCTCACAATCATGGCAAAAGGCGAAGGAGGAACAAAGGCACGTCTTACATGGTAGCAGACAAGAGAAAGTGTACAGGGGAACTGCCGTTTATAAAACCATCAGTTGTCACGAGACTTATTCACTATCACCAGAACAGCATAGGAAAAACTTGCCCCCATGATTCAGTTACCTCCCACTGGGTCCCTCCCATGACACGTAGGGATTATGGGAGCTACAATTCAAGATGAGATTTGGCTGTGGACACAACCAAACCAAATCACTTGGTCTCTCTGGACCACACAATGTCAGGTTGCAGGAGTAATGAGAAGTGAGGCTGAGTGGTGGATAGGCTAAGCCATGGAAGTTCAGCTGTGCCCTGTCAGGAGCTGTGCTTTTACCTAGAGACAGAGGAGCCCTGTTTCATTTTTAAATAGGGCAGCTTGTATCATATGTGAGTGCAACTTGTGTTGTATATAGGATATTTTAGTAGGTGAAAGAAGCTTGCATTTGAGGCAGAGGCAGGAGGCCAGGTAGGAGACATTAACAGCAGTGCAGGTGGAAGATGATGAAGGCCTGCACTGGCACAGTGGGTGAGGGAGGGAGAAGAGGAAATGGATGTGGAGGGTATTGGGAGTCAGGACCTGTGGAAGATGCAGAGTGGACTACGATAGTGGAGAATTCAAGAATTCCTTTGCTTTTGATTTGGAAGCAGAATGTAAGACCATGAGATCAGGAGTCATGGGTTCATGGTCTAGCTGCCATTCAGGAGCTGTGAGTATTAGGGATTAGATGGCTCAGGCTCACAGCTTCATTATTTGTAAAATGAGACTTTGGATTTGAGAATTTCCTGAGTAACTTCCCAGCTAAAGTTTCATACCTCAAGATTCAATGTTGTTTCTATAGTTGAATTGCCTTCTGTTTTACTTTATGGAAGTTAATGTTCTTCAGGCACCATTGCTATCTGCACTAGAGCAGAGGGTGGTAAGAGAGCAGCCTTGGTGTGTGCTTGGCCAAGCGGGGAGAATGTCTTCTGAATAGTCCAGGTAGGGATGTGAGCAACTGGAGATTTCTAAGGCTCACCCTGCAATTTGGAGCAAGTTGCTTCTGTGTGGATCGTAGTCAGCAGTGGAAATATGTTCATTATTTTGGAAATTTGGAAAAGTCATAGAAATGTAATTAGAAATAAATAAATCACACATATAAGCACCACATGGAGACAACTGTGATTAACAATGGAATACATTTACTTCCAGCATTCATTTTTTTATTTTTGTGAAGATACTGTGCTCGTTTGTTTTCATTTATTTGATTCCCCTTTCTTTTACTTTCTTTTACTTTACTTTCTTTTACTTTACTTTCATGTTTTTCCCTTGCTGTGATGGAGCCTTCAGGTTAGCTTATGTCACAGTCAATAAAAGTAAAATGAGGGGAAAAACACAAGTTTTTCTACATAATGAGAGTGTGGAAGGAGATAGCTAAAAGAAGTAAGGCAGTGTGAGCTAACTCACCTATAGGCTAACCCACATGGTTACAGTGCCTTAGGAACAGAGAACTCTTAATACGGAGTCTGTGTAAGTGAGAAACACAAGATAGAGATTCTTCTGATTTTTCGTCATATCTTTTCTGCCTGCAGGAATTTCATTTTCGTTTTTGTTTTTGGTCCCAATGAATCCAAATAACCATCAAATATCTCTTGGATTCCTGAGCTTCCCTTGAGGAGGAGTCAGGCAGAAGGATCCCAGCTTTGGAGCCTCTCCCTGCAGGTGTCCTGGAACTCTTCTGAGGATAATGTCCCTGTCCTCCCATCAGAACTTGCCGTGTTGTATTTGTGGTCATCTCATCTTGGCTATTTTGGGTTCAAGACAGTAGCTTTGTGGGGCTACAGAATGGGTGCCATGCTGGCTCTGGGTGGGCACGTGTGACGCTGGTCCCCTCTCCTTTGTAGCTGTGGTGCACCTGCCATAAGAAGTCCTTGGTGGAAACAGCATGCAGAAAGAGTCTCAAGGCCTTGAAGCTGAACTATTTGGACCTCTACCTCATACACTGGCCCATGGGTTTCAAGGTACCGTTCAGTAGGTAGTTCGTTCTGCAGTTTGCAGGACCTTCCTCCCCGTGCTCACACCCTGTCTTGCGGTGGGGAGAGCATGGACCAGCATTCAGGGCAGGGGTTCCCAGGCTGCATCTGCCACATGCTAGCTGCGGCATTTGGGCAGTCCTCTTGATATCTCTGGGCCTCAGTTAAGGAGAGGCTTGGCTTGACCTCTGAGGCCCCCACAGGTCTGTCTTTCAAGCCAGTCGCTTTTTTTCCAAGCCAAGAGAGCAGTAGATTTTTTTCCCTTAGGTTTTTAGGTGAAAGCAGTGATCAGATGAGGAAATACTGCTGCTCAGAGAAAGTTCCCAGTGAATTCCTAGGCCTTGTCTCTTCTTGCAGGTTCTGTTCTCTTTGGGGAGTAAATGCTGTTTTGCAATATGGGAGATATTTGCTTGTTCACCTGCAGCAGGGTCCAGTGGGTTGTGCTGGTAGTTGACTTTTCCACTTGGTTTTATTCTCTTAATTGCTTCACAGTGTGTCTGGAGCATGCATCTGAGCCATGGCTCTGTCACTAAGCTACCCCAGTCTGGCCGTGCAACTTCCCTACTCTAGGCAACCTGCTTCTGCCTCACACGGGTCCTGGCCAGGATGTCCCTGCATATTTGCCCTGGGCTGTGATGACAGCCTGCCTGGGCAAGGGCCTGATCACACAGTTGACACCTGTGAAATACAGAAGCCCTTGCAGGGATGTTCTTCCTACAATGGAATGGGTGACTGCTGCTCAGCAGTCTTCTACATACCAACCTGTGAGAAGGTCCCTTTATGTGTGCCACACTGTTGGTTACTGTTTTAGAGTAAAATAACAAAAAACACTTCATTCCTAGCACAGCTTTACTTAACTAAGGCTTTGTATCTAGTTTCCATAAACGATGTGGGCAGCTGTCCGTTAGTGACACTGACTAAGAGGGGAAGATACCCAGAGGGCAAAACCAGAGTGATGTCTGTGCCTTGAAATTCATTGCATGCAGAAAATCATAATTAAAACAATGGCTACAGCTGTATTACACTCATTGCCAGCCAGCATTGTTGTAATTATGTACCCAGAACTATGTTAGGTACTTTACACATATTAACTCATTTAATTCTCATGACAGTTCTACAAAGTTGACACTATTAACATCCCTCTTGGAGAGATGATGAAACTAAGATACAGAAAGTTTAAGGTTTAAGTTAGATTATTGGAGCCCAGAAGCATATGCTCAGGTCAGACATTTGTTACACTTTCCTTGCCCTCATCCTTTAGCAGATTCCTGTCTTTGGATTTCTGGGTCGTAGAAAAGGAAAAGGTCTCAGATCATCCAACAAATTACAGAAGAGAATAATGCAGCATCGTCAGCATGTCTTCTGGCCAGTAGGAACTGCTAGGCCTTGTGTGATGCTGGACAATTAGATCAGGGTCCGAGTATGAGTCCCGGGCTGCAATTTTGTGGAGGCTTGGATAAATGGCAACATGGGATGTGGCTTTAAAGTGAGACTGTTAGTTACTTCAGCTCATCATGGAAAATGCCTCTTTCATGTGTATCAGGCTGGAACATGTGACATTCTTCCACTGTTGTTTAGGAGTGTGATTAGGTGTCATTAAATAAACATGCCTATGCCATTCACCCTTAACATGCTACGTGGGAGTACATGAGGGAGGTAGCTGGATTGCACGTCAGTGCTTCTCTGAAAGATGACTTTAGGTTCTTGCCCTTTCAAGATGTATCTCTCTGCCCTCTACCTCCTGTGTACCTTTGTATTCTCACTTCCTTACCTGTCATCATGATGGGGATTCTAAGAAAGAAGACAAGACCCTAACAGTGGAGTTAGGAGAGGGTTGATTGGGCTCTATAAGACATGAAGAAAATGCACTCCTCACCCATTCTTTACCCGAAATTAGTAAACTATTTTCTGGAGGCAATGGGAGAGGACAACCTTGCATCAGTAAGGATACAGGGTCTTCCTTTCCCATCTTGTGAGAGATGAACAGTGAACATCAGGCTGGCAGAGGCTTTGCCAGCCATCCAGTCCACCAGCCATTCATCTTTTCTTAGAAAGGTGAAGACTGGGCCTGGTCACATGGCCAGGCTGGGGTTGCTTAGTGACAGGGCTGTGGCTTGGATGCAGGTCTCCTGACACATGGTTTTTTTTGTTTTGTTTTGTTTTGTTTTCACACATCTCAACTCTCCTTCTTCGCAGCCTCCTCATCCAGAATGGATCATGAGCTGCAGTGAACTTTCCTTCTGCCTCTCACATCCTCGAGTGCAGGACTTGCCTCTGGACGAGAGCAACATGGTTATTCCCAGTGACACGGACTTCCTGGACACGTGGGAGGTGAGCTGAGCCACACCACCAGGCAGCCTCATCCTGTGTGGGTCTCCACCCAGGATGCAGTGAGCCCTGAGCTGCTTGTGTTCAAAGACATCAAGGTTGTCTACCTGAGATGTGGGGTTTGTGGAGCAAAAAAGGAATCAATACCCGAAGAACTCAGAGACCTCAGTGACTTTCTTGTTACCTTTGGTTTGGTATGGTGCAGTTCTCTTGACACATTTGAGGGGTAGCTCATTATAGACCTCACTTTTTTTCTCAAATATTTATTTATTTTTTTATTAAAAACCATATTTATTTCAGAAAATACAGGAGAGTTCTTCTGCATTAAACTAACATTAAAAATTTTATTTTCCTGGCACCCAGCAGTAACCACTGTTAATGTTTTATAGTTCCTTTTTCTCTCAAGCATTTCAGAATGATAAAGTTGGCAGCATGGAAGCTCAGGCTGGGGAGGTGAGACCAGTGTCGGGGAAGGTTACCAAGTGTCAGCCCATTTCCAGGGTTCAGACCAAAAACAGCCCTTTACTGCAGGGGCTTGCAGTAAAGACTTGAGCAGGAAATTAAGGGGGTGGTGGATTTGAGAGGTTCCTGGAAGTTGACCCACAGGCTGGGGTGGGTCTCAGGCTTGGGCTCCAGCATGGCTGACCGAGCACGTGTGGTCTTACAGTCTTGCTAACCATCATGTGGGATGGGACATCACATTTGAGGCCCAAGAAGAAAGTAAGCTTAAGCTTAAGCTTGCTGAGGTTAGGACAGAGCTTGCTGGGTGAAGCTCTCCAGGGAGGAGGCCAGAGGGAACCCTCGGACAGGGAGGAGTCCCAGGCTAGGCTCCCCCCATCAATAGAAGACAAAGACTGACCTAAGGTATCTGAGATGTCAGGACCAGGGCCCATGGGCCTCAACTCTTTCTGTCACAATGTTTTAGGTCCTAAAAGATTTGGGTTAAACTCTAGGGTGCTCATGTAGCACCAGCGAGGTTCCGGTGATTGTTGCAGAGTTGAGGCAGTAACTAACTGCTGCGTGTTGGCCCATTGGTCACTCAGGACTTGCTGCTGACTACGGACCCTGGCACGAAGCTATGCTCTTCCTGAAGCTCAGGGGCAGCCTGGCTTGCTGGTCAGTGACCAGCTCAGAGCTTTAGGTTGCTCTGCCCTAAAGTGTCTTAAAATAGTAAGTGGAGAAGGTGGGATAGGAGAATGGTGATGTATCCGTGTGCTTAAGAAGGTCAGTGTCTCAGTGGAAAGAAAGGTGAACAAATAAAATCCGCAGCAGACATGCTTGCCAGACATCAGGAGGAATAGGAACAAGAAGAGCTCACATGTGTCGAGTACTGGACGCCAGCCTTAGCTGACACTTCCTGTGATTCCACATAACCCCTAAACATCCCCGTGGCACAGGCCATGTAGACCTGTCCTGAAGCTGAGAAAATTGGGGCCAAGTGAGGCCATGCAACTTGCCCAGCATCCTCTAGCCAGAAAAGATGGGACTGAAATCAGACCTTGAGTGCAGAAATGCTTTTGAAGCTTCAAGTAAAATATTGTAAAAATATTGGGTCCAACCAGTTTTAGAATACCATACAGAACTGCTGAGGGACGTAGATTGTCAGTGCAGTAGACAGAAGCTTCACACCCAGCAGAGTCGTTCTCTTATAGGCCATGGAGGACCTGGTGATCACCGGGCTGGTGAAGAACATCGGGGTGTCAAACTTCAACCATGAACAGCTTGAGAGGCTTTTGAATAAGCCTGGGTTGAGGTTCAAGCCACTAACCAACCAGGTAAGCCGATGGAAGCATCAGAGAGTTTAACCTGTGTGGCTGGTCCCCCAGCTGCCACCTCCACAGGGCTCTTCTGGAAATGGAAGAATGGGTGAAGCACAAAACAGGCCTGTTCTCCTCTGGCAGCACTCAGAATGGTGATTAAAGGCAGCAGCTAGGCAAGTGGCTTTCTTGAAGGTGCATCTGGGTAGATGGTACTGTTGGCAGGCAGGGCATGAGCTGGTGCTTGGCCCTCCATGTGCAGTGCAGGCAGGTCACCAGGTGTACTCAGAAGCAGTCAGGGTCCTGGCAGGTGCCTCACCCTTATCCAGGAACATGGGCCTCCCCTCTACCTCTTCCCAGCCTGCAGACTGCAGCAAGAAAGAGTGGATGACTAGATGGCTTCACGCGAGGCTCACAGGCTGCTGAAGGTGATGCAGGCACTTCGTTTTTTTAATGCAGAGAAAAGACTTGTGGGGAAATAACTATTGTATTTTCTAGACTAGCTTTGTATGTTCAAAGATCATTTATACAGTACTTAAGCTTTTTATTGAAGAGTAGAAGTGCACATGTGAAAATGGAACTGTATAAATTCTCATAAACTGAGCATAGCTCTGGGACTAGCATCCAGCTCAGTAAACAGCACGTCCAGTGCCCCTGTAACCCCTGCCGAGCACAGCATCATTCCCATTCCCAGCAGCTGGGATTCACGTCTGAACTTTACACAGGTAAAATAAAATAATAATGCAACATAAACCCCTCTGTGCTCGCCTCTTTCACACAGCACTGTGTTTCTGTACATGTGATTGTAGATAGTGCTCTCTTATTTCTTGTGGTATTCTGTTTTGTGAATTAACCACAATTGAGTTATCCATTCTGCTGTTAATGGGCACTTAGACAGTTTCCAGTTTGGGACTATTAAGAATAGAGCATCATGTTCTATTTTTTTGAATAAATATGCTTTTTAAAAAAGTTCTGTATGGAGTAGATGCAGAAAAGTGTGTGAATCATAAAAGGCATACATAGCTTGATGAATTTTTGCAAGTGAACAAACTCAAGTATTCAGCACCCAGAACAAGAAAAAAGCCCTCAGCCATTCAGTAGCTCCCCTGGGTCCTGTTGTAGCCACCACCATGAAGAGCAACCTGGCTTCTGACCCAGCTTCTCATGTAGTTCAGCTTTGCCTTGTATACAACCCTATATATATAAGTTTTGATATATGTTTATATGGATAGTAGCTTCCGTTTTGTGTCAGTATTTTTAGTTGTTCAGCACTTTAAATACCTGGGAATGATTATGGCATAGTCTGAGTAGACAAAGTGGGGTGGAGGGTCTGCTTTCTGTTAGGTTGATGGACACCAGGAACACAGGATGCGGAAGGCTCCAGAAGGGCTGGCCTCTCTTTTGGAGGCTTTCCAAACAGGCTGATCTTGATGAGCTTGGCATGTTCCTGAGAGCAAACGCACTATTCATAGTTCTCTGTAATTTACACTAAATAACTATTTATTTTAAATCTCCTTATAACCTGGAATTATATGTGAGAGTTTGGAGAATGTGCAAGAGACAGAGATCCTGCTCTCTAGCTTCTTAAAATTTTCATTCAAGTCACCTGTAGAATGTATTTGTCACATGTAGTTCCTCAATTTCATTCATTCATTCAGTGGATATATTTTTAGCACTTCCTACATGTCTAGATTGTTCTTAGTGTTGGTGAGACATCTATGAACAAAACAAATTCAAACAAAAATCTCTATCTTCATGAGGCTTAGATCTTGGTGACACAGAAAGACAGTGAGCAAATATGTAAAATCTATGAGATGTCAGATAGTGATAGATGCTGTAGAGGAAAATAAAGGCCGGGGGAGATGAGAGCTATGGTGTGTTAACAATCTTTATCTGAGTGCTCAGGGAAGGCCCTGCAGAGCAGGTGGTATTGGAACATTCAGATGATGTAGGTGTCCCCAAGGCCGTGGACTCAGAGACCATGACACCTGCTGGCCTCTTGGAGATTGCTCTGTCCAGACTCCTCACAACAGAAACACTTAGGCCTGGAGCTGGGCCCCATGGCTACTCGGTGACAGCCAAGACTTTGACGCAGGTCTTCTCTTGTAGAGCTTTTCTTGAACACTAGTGGTCTGAATTTTATGTAAGCTATGATTCTGTTATAGATTGAGTGCCACCCATATCTTACTCAGAAGAATCTGATCAGTTTTTGCCAATCCAGAGATGTGTCCGTGACTGCTTACCGTCCTCTTGGTGGCTCGTGGTAAGGATACCTCAGTGGTGTGTTAGTCAGAGTCCGACTGGGAAGTAGATGCCACCTTCTCATTTCCTTGGGATGACTGAGGGAGGGCTTAATGGAGGTTTTGACAGGGTGTGGAGGGATGGTACTATAGGGGGCTGTCCACACCTCTCAAGCCTGGGATTGAAGGCATGGTTTATTATTGGAAGCCAGGGAGTGGCTGTGAGTGGGCTGCCCTGGGAGGGTCAGGACCTCTTCAGGGACGTAAATCAGCCTGGAGTGACCCCTTTGCTGAGTTCCCCACCAGGGTGTCAGCCCCCTTCTGACCTCCTGACAAGGATGCTCCCCAGGCCTCTCCATGGTTGGATGAGGCAAAGCCTGCTGTCATCTTTACCCAGGCCCTCCTGCAGCTGTACTGTGCTCCCAAGATCAGCTAAGAGACCTCCAGCCATTCAGCCACCTAAGCCAGAAGCTTGGAAATCATCCCTTCCCACATCCCGAGTCCAATCCAGCACCAAAATCTATTGATTATTCTGCCAGGAGAAGTTGGACTTTGTTTCATGATTTCATTTCTGCCATCACTGTCACTGCCTTAGTTAAGTAGCATTCCCGAGGTCATTAGAGGAGCCCCTCAGCTCCCTCCCTGGCCCACTCCATTCCAATCCATTGCTCCCAGTGGGAGCTGAAAGGAGCTGTCTCTTTCCTTTCCTATGATCCTATCACTTTCCTGGGAAAAATTCTTCAGGTCTTGGTGTGGCCTGTGAGATGCAGCCAGCCTGACCTCTGCCTGCCTCTGGCCTCATTCCTTCCCATCCCTGTGAACATCCTGGGCTTCAGCCACATGAAGCTGCTGTGGGGTCCTTGGATAGAACATGTTTTCTCACCTCTGTGCCTTTGCAAATACTGTTCTCTTTACCCACAAATCTTTTTTTTTTAAATCTGGCAAACTCCAGTTTCTAATTTAAGGTTCAGTCCAGCATCATCTTCTCCAGGAAGCCCTCCTGACCCCTTATTTATGTTTCTTACACAGCCCTTGTCACACTGTCTTGTGATTTTCTTCTCAGTCCCTTCCACTAGTCAAAGCAACCAGAGTGCAGGTATCTTATTTATTCTTCTCTTCCCAGCTTCTAGCTCAGCACCTGGGAAACATTGGGAACCCCGAAAAGGCTGAAATTACTTGAGTTTTATCACCTGTGTGTTTTCCTTGTGAAGTGGGGCATGTGTGTTTGAACTTGGAACCAGCTGGAGAGTCTCTAGAAGGCTGGGTCCATTCCACAGCTGAGCTTTGGGGTAGCGGATCCTCTGATGGAGTGAGTCAGGGAGCTCTCAGACTGACTGGGGTGGGCAACTGGGCACTCTGTTTGGTTCCTTCAGGAGACCTCGAGGACGATACTAGCACAATGCCTGAAACAGGGTGATGGCTCAGTACACACTCGTTAAAAAACTGAATCCTCAGAGTTCTCAGGGCCCACCCGTGCCTGAGCAGAGGATGCACAGGGACTCTATGACCATCTTCAAAACCACTTTTAAAGGTTCCACGTGTTCACAATATTCACTTTTTAGTAGTATTTTGGGCGAACTTTTCTGAAAGTATCATCATCAACAAATATCGATTCGCTGTGCTGTGCCAGGGTGTACAGTAGAAGCTGAGAAGTCAGAGAGCCCTGAGAGTCGGGGGAGTCAAAGCTTGAGAGCCCACTGGCTGCATGCGCTGACATGGCCACCTGGTTTTTGAGGAGAAACACCAAATACACATGAAAAGTGATGTCGTGTAGCCTTGTTCACCAAAGTGTTAGCAGTGGTTATCTCCATACTGGAAATGTGGGGCGATGTGCTTTTCTGCATTTTAAAATTTCCTGTAGTCGGCATGTGTCATGATCAGAAAATAAATCTTTCATTTTGGACAAAGATTTCTTCTTTCTAAAGAAAGGGGCATCCATGTTGGATCTCCTGGCTCACTCCCCTGTACTGTGTCTCTCTAGTGAGGGGGTTGACCTGATAGACAACCCTGTGATCAAGAGGATTGCAAAGGAGCACGGCAAGTCTCCTGCTCAGGTAGGGAGGGAGGGCTGTTCTGAGCCAGGTGGGGTTCTCTGACCGCTCTACATCCTTGGGGAGTCCTGGGGCTTGGCAGGTCCCAGGAAGGGACTGGCTCACCCAGGTGAGTCCATGACTCATTAGAACCTCCCAGCGTCAAGCAGAATTTGGTCTGCAGCCGCATTTCTAGTCACTCAAGCCATGTACTCTTGCCTCCGAGCCTGTCTAGACTCAGAGGAGGAGTTTCCAGGCCTTCTCCCTCTGCCCCACCAACTGCATGCATGGTTAGTATGAGATGGTACAGAAAAGTTATTTATTCTAGTCTTCTTTGTTCTAATGTCCAGTGGGGGGCTGGGCGCATGTTAAGGAATTCTCATTAAGCAGATTCTCTGATCTCCTCCTTGGGCTGATGGCTGTCATTACCAACATATTGACAGAGCTGCTCAGTGAATGCCAGTAACAATAGCTGCTGTCATTGATTCTTGGACTCTTACTGCATGATAAAACTCACATGTTAGAAAATAACTTAGACTACATGGGATTTCCCTTTGTGTGATAGTAGACTTTTTGTTTCCTTGCAGATTTTGATCCGATTTCAAATCCAGAGGAATGTGATAGTGATCCCCGGATCTATCACCCCAAGTCACATTAAAGAGAATATCCAGGTAGGTGTATTCCTTCTTTTATTTGGCGGGTTTCAGATCATGTGTTAGATGGGAAGGGATGACTGCTGTAGCATACAGCCTCAGGGTTGCGGAGCTTGATGCAACAGGGGCTTCTCCCTCTGCACTGTGGGTGTTGGTGGTTGACCTTCCCTCAGCGATCAAAGGACCCAGGCTCCTTCCATCTTAGGGCCCTTTCTCCCCTAGGGTGTTGGTGTCTTCTCCATCCAGCCCAAGATTAGGAAGGAGGGAAGAGCATCTTGTTGGGATGATTTGTGTGGGCCAGGCTGGAGCATGTGCACCAGTCACATGGCTGCGCTCGCCCACAGGGGAGGCTGGATGTCTCCTAAGCGTGCACTCAGGAGAAAGGGGAGGCAGTTGGTGGACAGGTCACCACCTCTGTCGCATGGAGGCATGCCCACGTGGCCTGAGGGCACTGCTTTGAGTTGTGTGGGAAGATTCTGGTCCTGACTCCTGTCTAGTGACTTCTGAGAGGCAGGAGTGAAGACTGGAACAGGTGGAGCGTGTGCAGAACACAGAGAGGCAGCGGTCCTTTTCAGGGCAATCTTTTCACCTAAGCCAAGAACCACAGAAGTGTGTGAAGTGTGTGAAATCTATTTTTGGAGCTATGTGAAGGAACTCTGTGTGGCTTCAACCCTGACGACATAGTCTGTAACCCAGTCAGGGCCATGGACTTGGGATTCCCACAGTCTCACTCACGATTTAACTGCTGCATGACCTCTCTCAGCCTTTGTTTCTTCAGTAGAGCACCCTTCTGATAGGATCACTGAGGGTGAAATGTAATGATACAGTGAAGGGATAGCATAGTGCCTGGCGTATGGAAGTACCTGATGCTCTTAGCTGCCAGTCACCCTCAGTCACGGATGTCACCTGTGATGATCTCACAGGCAACGACAGGCATTGGTGGCAGCCCACACCCATTGATCATGTCAGCATAGGTGTGTGTGATCCTGGGGCCAGCTGCACAGCTGCATTTTCATAGACAGCATGTGCCCAGGAGTATGCTCCCTCTTGGTGTCTGAGCTGCCCATGAGCTCCACAAGGCACTGCTGCATCCTGAGGGCTCGGTTTGGTTGTGCCAAGCAAGCATCGCCATTGGGGTTTATTGACCCATCTGTAACAGTGCCTGTGCCCTCAGGCTTGCTGTGCATGCCAAGCTGGCTGCAGGTGGGCATAGCCCTGCCATTGGCAGGAGAGGCAGGCCACCCACGATGGGAGGACCAGGGGATGGGCAGGTTCCTCATGGTGTCTACAGCACTCTCCCTGCCGGGCCCTTGTCCAGCTCACCTGCTGCCCGCATGCCCTTCTCCTCTCCTTTCTCAGGCGTCCTGCTCTTTGAATGGCCCAGAGCAGCTCTGGGTGACCAGCCAACCTTAAGCCTGAAAGGTATGGATTTGGCTAAACTGTAAACTCAGTTCTCTCCAATGGCTGCTGACGGGCCTCTTGGAACGAGACTGCAGGTCTCTTGTAGTGGTTAGAATTGAGCACTGCTGACTGACCGGCATCTGCTCCACATGGTGTGTCCGGAATTGGTGGGTTCTTGGTCTCACTGACTTCAGGAATGAAGCCGCGGACCCTTGCGGTGAGTGTTACAGTTCTTAAAGGTGGTGTGTCCGGAGTTTGTTCCTTCTGATGTTCGGATGTGTTCGGAGTTTCTTCCTTCTGGTGGGTTCATGGTCTCACTGGCTTAGGAGTGAAGGTGAGGACCTTTGCGGTGAGTGTTACAGCTCTTAAGGTGGCGCGTCTGGAGTTGTTCGTTCCTCCCGGTGGGTTCGTGGTCTTATTGGCTTCAGGAGTGATGCTGCAGACCTTTGCGGTGAGTGTTACAGCTCATAAAGGCAGTGTGGACCCAAAGAGTGAGCAGCAGCAAGATCTATTGCAAAGACCGAAACAACAAAGCTTCCGCAGTGTGGAAGGGGACGGGAGTGGGTTGCCAGTGCTGGCTTGGGCAGCCTGCTTTTATTCTCTTATCTGGCCCCACCCACATCCTGCTGATTGGTCCATTTTACAGAGAGCCGAGTGGTCTGTTTTGACAGGGTGCTGATTGGTGCATTTACAATCCCTGAGCTAGACACAAAGGTTCTCCACATCCCCACTAGATTAGCTAGATACAGAGTGTCAACACAAAGGTTCTCCAAGTCCCCACCAGAGTAGCTAGATACAGAGTGTCGATTGGTGCATTCACAAACCGTGAGCTAGACACAGGGTGCTGATTGGTGTGTTTACAAACCGTGAGCTAGATACAGAGTGCCGATTGGTGTATTTACAATCCCCTAGCTAGACATAAAGGTTTTCCAAGTCCCCACCAGTCAGGAGCCTAGCTGGCTTCACCCAGTGGATCCCGCACGGGGCCGCAGGTGAAGGCGCCTGCCAGTCCCGGGCGGTGTGCCGGCACTCCTCAGCCCTTGGGTGGTCTATGGGACCTGGTGCCATGGAGCAGGGGGCGGTGCTCGTTGGGGAGGCTCCTGCTGCAGAGGAGCCCACGGAGGGTCAGGGGAGGCTCAGGCATGGCGGGCTGCAGGTCCCGAGCCCTGCCCTGCGGGGAGGCAGCTAAGGCCTGGCGAGAAATGGAGCGCAGCGCCGGTGGGCCAGCACTGCTGGGGGACCTAGCACGCCCTCCTCAGCCGCTGGCCCGAGTGCTAAGCCCCTCATTGCCCAGGGCCAGCAGGGCTTGCCAGCCGCTCCGAGTGCCGGGCCCACCAAGCCCACACCCACCCGGAATTCGTGCTGGCCTGCAAGCACCACGCGCAGCCCCGATTCCCACCGGCGTCTCTCCCTCCACACCTCCCCGCAAGCTGAGGGAGCCGACTCCGGCCTCGGCCAGCCCAGGAAGGGGCTCCCACAGTGCAACGGTGGGCTGAAGGGCTCCTCAAGTGCCGCCAAAGTGGGAGCCCAGGCAGAGGAGGCCCGGAGAGCTAGTGAGGGTTGTGAGGGCTGCCAGCATGCTGTCACCCCTCAATGGGGGCTGCCAGCATGCTGTCACCCCTCAATGGGGGCCTGGCCTAAGGTGCCCTCTGTGCCCTGCAGGGCAGCTAGGATTGCCCCTGGGAGGACATAGGCTGGGGAAGATTATCTGACCCTCCCATGGGAGGAGCCACCGAGTGAGCAGCTCAGCAGGTGGCAGGGGGCCACATCGCCCCAGTTCTGCCCTTCTGCCGTCGTGGCTCTCAATGCCCGGGATCCCCATGGCCTAGCAAAAGTGAATGTGACACGGGGACCTTGGGCCCAGCTGAGATGCCCCCATTCCTCTGTTAGGTCTGCTACACACTGAGGGGAAATGCCATCCTCAGGCAGTGAGACAGGACCAGGCTGACGTGAGACCTGAGGGCCAAAGCCGAAGTGATCTGATGGCTGAGGACAGACAGCAGCGGCGGGTTAGGAGGGGCCGGAGGAAGTGCTTATGCTGTCAGGAGGAGGTGGGAGCCAGGTCCACAAGACTCACCAGGGAGGAGAAAGGCATCCAGTGCAGGGGGCTGCCCCGGCCCGCCCCCTGTGGCCCCAGTGCCGCTCAGAACTGCTGCTGCAAGGCTGCCTACCCTTTATAAGGAGTCTTCTAGAACTGCTTGCTGTTCCCCTTAAACCCAAGAATCCGCCTACCCCGGCCCCAGCACTCCCCACTACCTCCAGATGACACGCTGAGGCTACTTTCTCCTGCCCTCAGGAGGGGAAGGCTCTTGTGGGGAAGAGCCTGGGGTGCTCCAGGTCCTTGCATTGGAATCACTCAGTGCACCCCTCCTCCCGCCGCAAGACAGCCACTCTGCCAGGCCGGGGTGGATGCTGATGCTGTGGCCATGGGTCCTGTTCCTCAGTGTGTGGGGACAACAAAAGGGGAGGGAAGGGCTGAGAAGAATACTATTTTCAAGGAAGAAAAATGGATCACTCAGAAAATGTACTCTGTGATATGGGTACTGTTAGAGTTCATAGTCCCAGGGCCAAGTGGGTCCCTAGTTGGCAGGTGTATGGAACAAATTGTTTTGTTGGGGTTTTGAGGGGTAGCAGAGTCAGTGGGAAAAATTCTGTGCCATCCTTTTTTTTTTTTTTGAGATGGAGTCTCACTCTGTCATCCAAGCTGGAGTGCAGTGGTGCGATCTCGGCTCACTGCAACCTCCACCTCCTGGGTTCAAGCGGTTCTCCTGCCTCAGCCTCCTGAATAGCTGGGACTAGAGGCATATGCCACCATGTCCGGCTAATTTTTAAATTTTTAGTAGAGATGGGGTTTCACCATATTGGCCAGGCTGGTCTCAAACTCCTGACCTCGTGGTCTGCCCATCTTGGCCTCCCAAAGTGCTGGGATTACAGGCGTGAACCACCGCGCCCAGCCGCTATAACTTTTAACAATTCCCATATGTCCTTTATTCCACTAAGATGAGTGCAGTATATATTTCCATCTGTCCAAGGCTTCCTAAATGTAGCCAAGGCCAAGCCAACACCAGTCACATGATCAAAATCAAAGGGCATTTGGGGAATCCAGGCTGTGATTCAGGGAAGTTCCAAGTGTCTGATGAAGTGTTTGTTTTACATCTTTGTGTCCCTTGCAGGTCTAGCACTGTGCTATGTAGGTAACATGTGCTCCATTAAATGTGAATTAAACTAAGTTTTCTACAAACATTGTGTTTTGGTTCCAGGTGTTTGATTTTGAATTAACACAGCACGATATGGATAACATCCTCAGCCTAAACAGGAATCTCCGACTGGCCATGTTCCCCATGTAAATATGGCTCCTTCTTTTTAAAACAGAGGGAAGAATATACAGATTGAATGATTGGTGTCTGAATAGGTATTTATCATACACATTTTAGATTAATTAAACTTTCTCATTATAATTCTTTCCTGTTTGAAGATGAGCCACTGAATGAAGCTAATTTCATGCACTGGGGAGTTTAAAAGTATATACCATTTAAAATGTTTCTCTTAAAAAATAATCATTCTTTGTTCCTATTTTTGATTTGTTTTTCTGTTTTTCAGAACTAAAAATCACAAAGACTATCCTTTCCACATAGAATACTGAGGACGCTTCCCCTTCCTTGTTTCTGCTCAGCCCAGATGCACAGACACTATTGGCAATGTTGACCCTCCTCTGTCATCACAGCGCCAGGGCAGCTGTGCCTGGGACAGGAGCCACACAGTCAGAGGGGGATGTAAGAGCCACCTTCTCTGACAAATCTGGAGAATTGAGTGTGTTCTAAGTGAAGGCAATGGGGTTTCTCCAAGACAGCCTGTGTGGCCTCTACTCTGAACAAATACACTGATGAGTCATCAGTGAAATTTGCCTTCACATTTTAAGAAAACTTTATCTTATGGAGTTATTTAAGCCATCTACAGAGCTGAGGAAACAGTGTAATGTGTCTCTGCCCCATTGCGCAGCTCCACCCATTGTGCCCCAGGCCAGCCCGCGTCACCTACACTTCCTTCTGTGCCCTGCCAGTGACCCCCAGGTTATTCTAAAGCAGAGTCCTTCCCTTCCCCCAGTGAGAAGGAAAATGGGATAAGTCTGGGACACTGTTTCAGTTCAATAAAGAGGCTTTTTTCTTCCTTAAAAATCTGAATTTTAATTTCTTTTTTTTTTTTTTTTTGAGACAGAGTCTCACTATGTCACCCAGGCTGGAGTATAGTCAAGTGATCTCAGCTCACTGCAACCTCCGCCTCCTGGGCTTAAGTGATCCTCCTGCCTCAGCCCCCCAAGTAGCTGGTTAATTCCTAAATACTAGTTTTTAATACGGTCTTCTGATAAGTCAGATTATACCTGGGGAACCCCCATAGCGGAGATGAAATACAGCTCACTTTCTCACATCTGCTCATTCAGCCTGTTTAGATTCATGTATCAGAAGGAGGCCCTGCAGAGCATGGTGTTCACGCCCAGGCGTTGGTAGAGGGTGTGGGTTAATGGACTTCCTGTGGTCCAGACGCCATGATCCCTGTCTTTGCTGTCTGCTCAGTGAATCTGGCCTAGCTCCTGTGCCCTGGGATTCATACCGGATCTCCAGGGATATAACTTCTCAACTCACAGGCCCTTGGCTCCTATTCAAAATGAGTTAAGCCAGAAAGAAATTGATGTCTACTCCATGGTCTCTTCCCGCTTCTTGTGTCCCCCACATCAGCCTCCAAACAAGCCTCTCATTTCCTCCTCCCTCTGCATCAGGTTCAGGGAAGATATGGAGGTGTTGCCCAGTGGCTGAAGGGGACTGTTTGGGGACAGTTCCCCTCCACATCACTTCCCATTTTCACTCTATCACAAGCAGGCCAGCTGAGTCAGAGGTGTGGGTTCTGCAGATAAAAGTTGTGCTTTTCTAGCTCTGTGATCCTGAGCAGACTGCCTCACCTCCCAGCCTTCAGTGTCCTTGTCCACTCAGTGGAGGAATTGCAGCACCTCCCGGTTGTGGAGACAGCATCTGGCCCAAGTTATGTTCTAGGAAGAATGCATTGTTACTGCGACCAGTATCATTGCCATTGCCTCATTCCTCAGTTTCTCATCCACCTCCCTGCCCAGCCTTCCAGATGTGCAGGGATGTGTAGAAACCTTCTAGCTTGGCCTCAAGAGAGGACTTTGCTGCGGGTGTCACCAAAACGAAAAGACATGACTGGTGCAAGAGCTTCATGGGAGCCTCGCCCTAGTGGGGGTAGGATTGAGGGTGGGGTGTCATGGTTTGACCAAATTTCCAGGGAGAGTTTAATCAGAAGACTGTTTACAAAGGACTGAGGAAATGGGAGAGTCTCTTGACCTTCCTACGATCAGGCCCTGTCCACCACCATGGACCTTTAATTTTTCCATGTTCGTGACTCCTTATCATTCATTAGCTGTGTGACTTTGTGCAAATTACTTAACCTTTTAAACCTTTAAACTCTTTGTCACTGTCTACCTAGAGGTGTTAGGATTCAGTGGCATAGTGCCATGCAGCAGGTGACACAGTCATCTGCATGTAGCACTCTTGTGAACACATGCGTGTGTAGGTGTGTGACTTGTATTTTATCTCCCACAGAGTCAAAAATCTAACTGCTATTTTGTGAATTTTCCTTGTCACTTATACTTAAACCATTGTTCATTGACCTTAAAAGTAGAGAGTAGAATGGTGGTTACCAGAGGCTGGGGAGGGCAGGGGTGGATGGCTGATGAGGAGAGGTTGGTCAGCAAGGACACAGTTGCAGTTGGGAGGAATGAGTCTCAGCGCTCCATTGCACAGTAGCGTGAGTTGGTTAACAGTAATACGTCAGGTGTCTCACGATAGCTGGCCAATGAGGATCCACTACGTTATTTGCATTTCATGGATTTACTTCCAGCCGGCATGAAAACTGAGTGAAGCTGGCCACCAGGTGGCGCTGGGAAGCACTTAATGGTCCAGTGCATCTGCGGCTCTTAACAGGAGATGGCAGCCTTTTACTGTCTTTGATTTTAAGACCTCTTCAACTTTGTACAATCACAGTGAGGAAGGAAACAATGGATAGCAAAAATAGGCAAACACTGGGCAACTGCAAAGCTTAAAAAGTTTCACAGAAGTTACGCAGCCTCGTTCTTGAGCAGTATTTCCCAGTTCCCTTTTCAGATGGTAATTGATAACCCGGCCCCTCTTGTCTGTTCATTCTGAGTGGAGCTGACAAGCCCTCCCCTTCTTTGGTTCCCTGCTTTTCTCTAGGGAATGTGACTTCTGTGTAAGTTCTTCCCCACTCTGGGGCCTGGAGACCAAGGTCCACAGAGGAGGTGTAAACGTGTGCCCTTAAGGGACCCTCTGCGTCAAATGATTGTGGGCATCTCTCCTGACTTTAAGACTGGGAGATACTCAGATACTCGTTTCAGTAGCTGCTTCTCCTCATTGGCACTTTCGTATTTTATTTGAATGGAAAATCCAAGGATAAGTGGTAATCAAAGGCTTAAAAAGCTGGAAACAGATTCGGGAGGTGTGGATGGGCATCAAATGGGCATCAAGGAGCAAGAGACCTTGGGGAGGATGGCAGGGCCTCGCTGACTGATGGCAGTTTATGTTTGATTGTTTTGAGAAACTGCCAACTGTTTCCCAAAGTGCACAGGCTTACAGTCGCATCAGCAATGTGCGAGGTTCCGGTTTCTCCACACCCTCGCCAGCATTAGTTTTGGTCTGCCCCTGTTGTTGTTACAGCTGTTTTAGTGGGTGTTCAATGGTGTCTCATTGTGGATTTCATTACAATTCCTTACTGCCTAATGATCTGAGCATCTTTTCATGTGCTTATTGGCCATTTGTATGTCTTTGGTGAAATCCCCCATGGCATTCCTATGAGTTCACTGTGGGTGCCGCAGGGTGACTATGTGCACAATCTTGGAACTGTGCATTTAGACACTATTTATTAGTTCCCAACTTTAATCAATGATAAAATTCGCATTTTAGCACGTTTATTTCTCCATCTTTTCTCTTTCTTCCATTTCTCCTTTTCTTCACACAGACATCTAATATGCACCTTAAACTTTATGTGTCTAAAACAATGCTTCAAGCTCAACCCCAGCTCTCCAACAAGCTTTCTTTATTGTTATTCCTTAGTTATAAAGATGAGGGAGACTTGGTCTTGCCCTTAAACACCCAAGTTGAAATGGGAGAGGCACGCATGTGGAGGCGATCACAGAACAGTGACATGTGATGCGACCAGCTCTGGCTGGGTTTGGGCACATTTTCATTTTATATCATGAAATTGATCAAGACCCTGTGTCTTCATTGTGTTCCTTTTTCTTGTTATGCAGCATATTTTCACAGGACTGAATTCTTTTACGTATCCATACACTGGGGCAAATCAACTATCCAGACCTAGGTTAGCAACATTAGATGATGTGACATCCACCATACTGTGGTCATTGTCACTCCCGGTTGGATTCTGCTCTGGGCAGAGAGGGCTAATGGGCGTGACTCTAGGCCCAGTTTCCATAGCCTGGCAGTCCTCACTAGGAGGCTAGAGCTGGACTGGAAGCCTGTCTTCACCAACTGGTTTCTGGTACTTTGAACACATGGAGAACAAGGAAAACTACAATTTTTAATGTGCACTTCTGTCACGTATCGCCTCTGCCACTTAGAATTATATCCATGCTCCAACACCAATCCCTCCCTAACATTAGCTAGTACTAACTCGATGCTTTCTGTGTGCCAGGTACTATTCTATAAGTATGTTACAGGTTTTAACTGAATCTTCACAGAAAGGTAGGATTTACCATTATTTCTGTTTTATAAATGAAATAACCAAGGAATAGAGAAGTTAAGTAAATTACCCGCAAATACCCAGCTAGTAAAGTGATGTAAGTAGAATTTGACTCGGGAAATCTGGCTTCAGAGGCTGGGCTTTTAATTACATACCATGTGGGAAACAGTTAACTAGGTACTCTTTCTCTTGGAATTAATCTTTTTAAACTATGTAAATAAGAGGGTGAGACTTTTGGTGTTGATTCCCGAGAAGATAGGACACATTCCACCCCACAGGACTGGCATGTGGCCCAGTGACAGTGCCAGACCCTTTGAACACACAGCTCCGTTCCATGTGACGCCAGTGGAAAATCAAACATTTCTTGGCAGTATTGACGAGTATTTGGATGAAAGAAACAGAAGAGCTCATTAAACCTGCAAAACTCTATTCCAATGGTGACCAGCATTACTTCACCTGGGAAATCATTGAAAAACAATTACTGTGAGACTGGATTGGTGAGTCACACGAGTTCAAGCCATTATATGCTTAATTTACTTCCAGCCCTGATTTTAAACAGAGGCGGTATATTTAAATCAGAAGGAGATACGGAAACAGCAATTTCTTGGCTAGAAAAATCAGCATCTCTAGGGGGAAGTGGAAAATTCTCAAAGAGCTGAAGAGCATGAAAAAGGCTCCTTCTCTTGTCAAGATAGATCACGGCCCTCATTAGTGAAGAAGATTCTGCAGGCACAAAGGGCCCTGAACAAATGCTGGGCAACAACAGAAACTGTGGTGCGATTAATTCTTGTAAAATAATAAGACAGAAATAGCTCCATCAATGGAAGGAGAATACCGTTAGCTAGAGACTACCCAAAGGAAGAGAATCTCTGAAATTAAGTTAGATTAAGTGGGATTGAGTTGTGACAGCTGCAGGGACAGACCTTCACCACTGTGCCACCCCACCTGGTGTCTAATGAATTTACGCTGAAGCAGGTTAGGACAGTTTGCAAGCAGAAAATACAACAGAGATGGATTGGCAAGGTCTGCTGGAATTGCTGCTGCTTTTTTATTTTCATTTTATTTTGTTGTTTTTGTTCTAAAAATATTTTATTCTTTTTTTTGGCTTACACGGCAGAAATCCATTTTCTCACAGTTTTAGAGGCTAGAAGTCTAGGGTCAAGGTGTTAACAGATTTGGTTTCTTCTGAGGCCTCTCTCCAGGACTTTTCCTTCTGTGTCCTCACATGGTCTTCCTTCTGTGTGTGTCTGTGACCTTGAGGGATATTTTAAAGCTGAAGAGATAAAAGAGGTTGTGGGGCTATGTCTTAAGACAAAAGAACATTTAGGAAACCTCAGGAAATGATCAGAGTGGGATAGATGTTACTAGAAGAAACAAAGAAATTGAATTCAATTAGGAGTTAGAATCATTTACAAAGCAATGGGGAAAGTAAGCCCCTAAAAACTATTGTAGCATATAGTAACCAGAGCCAAACTCTCATAATATATTCCCCAAGGCAAAAGAAAAATATTTACAAGATTGGCGTTGTTTTATATGTTTGCAAACTTATTTAATAAGTCTGGCTTTGTAGATTTCATATCTGAGTCTGCATTCAATCAAAATGTCTTGGCTAAACTTCATGAAAAAACCCCAGCCTCATAAATTAGTAGTTGGAAAAAGGAGGCATATTTAGAGCTTTTTCAGATAATTGTATTTCTTTGATACATTAGACTGGACACACAGTAGTTTGTTTAAGGTTAATTGCAATATTGCAATGAGGAACTTGTTGCCAAAAAAAAAAAAAAAACCAAACTCTGTAAAATATCTGAAGAGATTGATTCTAAGCCAAATATGAGAACCATGACCCATGACACAGCCTCAGGAGATCCTGAGGACATGTGCCCATTGTGGTCTGGTTACAGCTTAGTTTTATATGTTTTAGGGAGACATAAGACACCAATCCGTATAAGTGAGATAGACTTTGGTTTGGTCTGGAAACATGGAACAACTGAAAGTGGGGACAACTGTCAGAGGCATTTAAATCAGAGCAACTCCACCTTGAATAGGGGCTGAGTAAAATGAGACTGAGACCTATTGGGCTGCATTCCCAGATGGTTAAGGCATTCTAAGTCACAGGATGAGATAGGAGGTCACACAAAATACAGGTCATAAAGACCTTGCTGATAAAACAGGTTGCAATAAATCCCCCAAAACCAAGATGGCGATGAGAGTGACCTCTGGTCGTCCTCAATGCTACACTCCCACCAGCGCCATGGCAATGTCAGGGAGCTACCCTATAGGGTCTAAAAAGGGGAGGCAGAAATAATGTACTCCTTGTTTAGCATATCATCAAGAAATAACCATAAAACTGGGCAGCCAGCAGCCCTTGGGGCTGTTTTGTCTATGGAGTAGCCATTCTTTTACTCCTTTACTGTTTTTTTTTTTTTTTTTTTTTTTTTTTAGACAGAGTCATGCTCTGCTGCCAAGGCTGGAGTATAGTGGCACTATCTCAACTCACTGCAAACTCCACCTCCCGGGTTCAAGTGATTCTTCTGCCTCAGCCTCCCGAGTATCTGGGACTACAGGTGCATGCCACCACATCCAGCTAATTTTTGTATTTCTAGTAGAGATGGGGTTTCACCATATTGACCAGGCTGGTCTTTAACTCCTGACCTCATGATCTGCCCACCTTGGCCTCCCAAAGTGCTGGGATTATAGGCATGAGCCACCGCACCTGGCCTACTCCTTTACTTTCTTAATAAACTTGCTTTCACTTTACTCTGTGGACTTGCCCTGAATTCACTCGTGCGAGATCTAAGAACCCTCTCTTGGGGTCTTCTTCCAGACCCTTTGCTGTAACATCTTTCTTGTGACCACTGAAGGGACTATAGTGAGGAACCCCCCGCCCCGACCCAGAGGCTAACTTTGGGTAAGTGGTGGGTGGGGTCCAGTAACATTTTTCTCATGAACCACAAAAGGGCTGATACTGAGGAGACCTCCCACCCAAAGGAAATAGACTACAGCAGTGATCAGCGGACTTTGGGTAAGTGGGGTGTGTATACCCAGGTAAAGAATGGGATTTGGTAGCAGGCCTAACTTAGGGGAGTTAGGGTCTCTCCTAAGACAGAGTAGGTTAGAGGCCCCTCTTCATAAAAGGCAAGGACACTTGACTGACCTTGGGTTAGAGGCCCAACTAAGGAGGGTTAGAGGCCCCTCTGGGTAAAGTCTCTTTCGGCTAAGAATGGGTTTGGCACTATGGGATGTTAACTGCTATTGTCTTTGGAATAATCTGCCTTGCCCTCTTTGCTGATGGCTATGGGTGACAGGATTAGACATGTACAGGATCATGGGACATGGGGAGCTTTTTCCTCCCTAAGAAGGGAAACTTGAGAGCTGATGGGACTGCTGGAAAAGATCGCTTCATGACCACAAGTTGCCACCTGAACTTTTCAGTGTAGCTGCCTTTGGGTGGGTCTTTCTCTGTCCTCCCTGAGCACCTTGCCTTTCCCACCCTGCCTCAGGCAGTGCTTCACCATCCCTGCAAATGGGTTGAATGAATGGTAAAAATAACTGTTTATCTTCTCTTCTTTGTAAAGTGTTGATTAATGGAAAAAAGGATTTGTGAGGCTAGTCATAAGTTGGGGCAAATCTGATGTGCTTTGTGTGTCTTTCTGTATTGTTCTGTCATAAGGAGGAGTATCTTAGAATAGAATATGGGCTTAGGACAGCTATACACCTGCTGTTCAAGATGGCCAAGCAGACGTGTCAGTTATAAACTTTGCTGCAGGTCCCAGAAAAAAACCGGATGAGGTTTCCCCCTTGTCTTGTGTGTCCTTGCGAGCTTGACCTTGTAACCATGTGGCAGTACTTTCTCTTGGTTTCTGCCATCACAATGGCAGCCCAGGTTCAGGTCCAATTCCTGGCTTAGGGAATGAGTCCTTTATCTTCTCTCTGTCTGTATTTGTATGTGTTGTGCATGTAATGTTTACATACGAAAGAGCTTTAATTTATTGGCTTAAAAAGAATAAGAGCTTAAATCAAACATTTTGTCAGAAAAATAAAAAGTGTAATGCCTTTTAGTTCATGTGACTTAAGTAATCTTTGGGAAATAAAGACAGTTTTAAAGATTATTGGTAAAATAAATACATTTGGTCTAAATTAGGCAGGTCAAATATTAGGTTTGCTAAATGCTTTAAGGGCATAAACTGCTTCTTAGACTTTTGAAAATTGTTCAATTTACCTAGTTCGGAGCATTCGATTCTAGATAAGGCCTGGGGACATGTGGAGAGCCATGCCCCCTAGCTGTGCAGGAAACAGTCAGCCCTTACCTGAACTTCTGTCTGCTGTCCTAGCCTGCACACCTAGTACAAAATTAAAATCCCAAACTTACCAAGGTTTTTCACCAAAAGTAAAAGTCGCTTAGAGTTAACAGTGTAACATATATTTGAGACTACTGGAGAAACTGTTCTACATGCAAGGTATGTAAAGAAAGTAGAATATGTTTTTGGTAAAAGACTATAAGAAGTCATGGGAATGTAGATTTTTCTGCTAAAGGGTTAAATAATTGTCTTAAGTTAGAGTAAAGCTGAAGGTTTAAGCTAGTCGTGGAAGGTTTGTGAAAAATTAATCCTGTAAAAGAAATTCTGTTTGTGAACATATTGGCTAAAGTTAAAGGGGTATTATCTAGCTTTTTGTAGACTGAATATTGGAATAAAAGCACAACAGGTTTTTCTTAGAGCAAAAACCTGCTTATGACCTGCTCTTTAACAAAAATTATAAAGGGTTATAAAAGCTTTATAAGAATCTTACCTTATGGTCAAAGTGAATACGATTGGATACATTTATCTATAAGGTTTTATTAAGAATTAGGTCTGACATCAATAATGCACTAATGCAACAGTGACAGTTGACTTATTTGGTATAAAAGTCATACAGGAAGCATTGTCAAATATGAAATGGTGTTTGATTTTCTTTCAGGTGTGTTTGTATAAATGTATTATTAGTATATGTTCCAAAATTATGGGAAACTGCTATAATTCTGATATGACTTAGTGTATGTTATTAATACACTAGTTGTTACATAAAATCATTCCATGGCACAGAGGTAACCAAATTTCTTTGTCAATTATGTTTTTGACTGTAACTGTCCTGAGACTTTTGTCATCCATGGACAATTTTTGCCTTGTTTTGGTCCTCTTTAGAAGATGGTTTATAATCAACTGTAGAACTCTACTGTTCGGTGGTATTAAGTACATTCACATTGTTGTGCAACCATCACCATCATCCACTTCCAGAGTATTTTCATCTTCTCCAGCTGAAACTCTCTACTTATTAAACAATAACTCCCCATTCCCTCCTCCTCCAACCCCTGGCAACCACAAGTCTACTTTCTTGATCTATACATTTGACTCCTCTAGGGACCTCATATAGGTAGAATCACACAATATTTGCCTTTTTATGCCTGGCTTATTTCACTTACCATATTGTTTTCAAGACTCATCCATAATTCATTAGTTCACATTGCGTGGCTGTACCAAAACATCTTATGTACCCTGATATGGTTTGGATCTGTTTCCCCACCCAAATCTCATGTTCAATTGTAATCCCCAGTGTTGGAGGTAAAACCTGGTGGGAGGTGATTGGATCATGGGGTTGGAGTTCTCATGAATGGTTTAACACCATCCCCCACTTGGTACTGTATAGTGAATGAGTTCTCATAAGATCTAGTTATCTAAAAGTGTGTAGTACCCCCCACACACACATCTTCTCTGTCTTCCTCATGCTCCAACAATGTGAAGTGCCCCTCCCTCTTTCCCATCTGCCATGATTGTAAGTTTCCTGAAGCTTCCCCAGAAGTTGAGCAGATGCCAGCATCATGCTTTCTATACAGCCTGTGGAACTGTGAGCCAGTTAAACCTCTTTTCTTTGTAAATTACCCAGTCTCAGGTATTTCTTTATAGCAATGCAAGAACAGACTAATACGTACTCCATAAATATATATACCCGCTATATGCCCACAGAAATTAAAAATAAAAATAAAAATTTTTAAAAAGATTCATCCATGATTCAGTATTGGTAGGTTATGTGTTTCTATGGATTTGTTCATTTTATCTAGGTTATCTAACTTGCTGGCATACAACTTTTTACACTACTCTCTCATACTTTTTTTTATTTAAATGAGTTTTTAAATTTCTGATTTCAGTTGAGTCTTATCATTTTTTAATTTTCTTAGTAAAGCAAGCTAAATGTTTTTCAATTTTGTTGACCTTTTTTGAAGAACCAACTCATTGTTTCATTGTTGTTTATTTCTACCTTTGTAAATATTTTCTATTTTATATATCTCTTCTCTTGTCTTTATTATTTCCTTCCTTCTGTTAGATTCGGTTTCGTTCTTTTTCTAGTTCCTTAGGATGTAAAGTTAGTTTGTTGATTTTACCATGTTAGTTTTAATATAAATATTATCTATGTTGTCAATTTCTTTCATTGACATTTCAGGAAAACGAGTCAAAATGAGTCATACTTATTCTTTGACTTTGTTTGACGTAGCTCATAGTGTTAACTACTCCAGGGAAACAAATTTGAGAAGATCAATTTTAGGCCATTTGAAAATTGGAGTCAGTAAGCATATGAGTAGATCTTACATATATGAAGAAAAAAAGGAAAGTTGGGTACTGTTTTTATATAGACCCACTCATTTATTTCTTCATTCATTCATTCATTCATTCATTGAGCCTACAGCAGGCTGAATCCTATATTCCCCATTAAAAATGAATAGATGAATTGTCTTTGGTCTTTACCACAATATTAAATGGTGGAGATAGTCATGTAAGCAA